>NC_000010.11:86203701-86355216 GCF_000001405.40 Homo sapiens | reverse complement strand
CTTTCTGACTCTGGGTGGGCAACCTCGGTTTCCCTGACTGTAAAATGGAATAGAGGACAGCTGAGAGGATCAGTTGAGGAAATGCACTAGAATAGCCCAGCCCAGGGTGAGCACAGGGCAGTGGCTGGGTGAAGAGGTGGAGGTCGCTGTGATCTTACTAGCCTGAGTGGTCTGTGGTGGAGACTTGTCCTCCTCTCACTTCCTGTTCTGGGCTGGGCAGTGTGAGCAGGTTCCCACAGCCTTGGCCCCACTTAGGGCGGGGGAGATGTGCAGCTTGGAGTTGAGCCCCAGCCATTCTGGGTGTCTCAAGAGAGCAGGGAAGGAGGTTAGTGTTGACGACATGGCTCATATGGAGGCTGCTCGGAGCCATCTGTATAGGCTGGGGCTCTGGGAACCTGTGGCCTGTCACGGCACGGTATTTCCATCTTACTGTGGCCTTGTCTGCTCTGAGTGCATAGAGTGGCCAGAATCCCACTGGCCTGCCCCTGCCTCCCCGGGACCTGGCCATAGGGCAGGCCTACCTTGCTCTATTTGGTGGAAAGGGGTCAGGTGGAAAGGTGTGGGTTCAGTTCCCAAATCTGATTGATTATCTGTGTGGTCTTGAACAGATCGCATTCCCTCTCTGACCCTCAGTCTCAACATCTGTGAAATGGGCCTGCCTTGGGGTTGTGGTGGTGGATCTAGAGAGGACGTATGGCCAGCAGGAGGGAGGCTGTGGTGAGCAACAGTCCACCATGGCGCCCGAGAGAGGGGTGCTTAGCGCCTTGGGGCTCATTCTCCCATTGAGGGCGTGGGTGCCGGCACATAGTATGCTCAGCAGGCATTCGTTCTTGTTGTGTCCCGGCCACCATGTTTTCCATCCTCCTGGGACCCTGCCAAGGTACACGACACCTCTTGGTCTCTGGGTCCTGTCTGGGTGCTAGCAACCCCCAGGTCCGGGCTGAGACACCGGCCTTGCTGCCTGGAGCTCTGGGCCCAGCCCACCCATGGTCTGGCTCTGCTGTGGCCTGTGCCCCTATAAACTGGGTCCTGGCCTGGCCTGGAAGGCTGTCTTCTTGCTGTCTGTCCCCCATGGCGCTCTTCCTTCTCAGTCCAAGGTGGAGACTTGAGGTCCTGCCATGGGTCCGCTCCTGGCCTGGGGCCGTGGGCCTTCTGCCTTTTCATCTGAGTGCCCAGAGGTGTGGTGAGCCATGGAGTGGCCCCACTCTGGCCTCTGGTCTGGGCTCTGGGCTCAAAGCTCTGAGACCTGACCTGAGCTCTGGGCCGAGCCCCCCTCCCAACAGTGCCCCATCTCCAGTGGCCAGTGTCAGATGCTGAGGTGGCCTTGATTTGGCTGGGCTCTAGGGCTCCTAACTCCTTCCCTGCCATGGCTGTAACATCCAATGCTGGTCCTCCTGTGTCCCAGGAGGCTCCCAGGGTACCTGCCCTCACTCACCTCTCCCACAGGGCTCTCGTAACTAAAACAACCCCGTGGGCCGTCCCCAAGTCCTGCAGTTTGCCAGCCTGGGCCTGGAGAGCTGAGGGTGGGTCTCTCCTTATCACAGAACCCCAACTGGAGCTGGCCCAAGGCTTGCTGCTGGGGCCCAGCTCTGTGAAGGGACCTGAGCCTCAGCTCAGGGCATATCTACTGTGCACCTGATAAAGGCTTTGGAGGGCTGAGCCATCACACTGCTGGAACGGGAGGAACATGGCCATAGGTGCCCTGGACAGTCCAGCAGTGTGATGGCTCAGCCCTCCAAAGGGCTTCTGGGGGCTCTGGTGTGGTGGGCAGTGCTGAGCAGATGTGTATGTACACACATGCATACATACACAAGGAGACTGTTGCAGACACCCATGCTGCCTGGGCATGTTTAGCAGAAAGAGCCAAGACTTCCAGCTGCTGCTCAGAGCTCCGCTGGCCCCCTCAGACTCCTCCTGGACTCACGTGAGGTCCCAGTTGGGAGGTGGCATCCTCAGGGTGCATCCCAGCACCCACAGGAGACTGGCCTGGTCATGTGCTCCCCTTGCCTTGTGTTTCCTTTGACTTGTCGGTGACGTCTTCTGGAGGTTGTGGGCTGTGGGGAGGGAGGGACTTGGTCGCTTTTGTTCCCTGTGGTATCCTCAGCTCTAAGGGCAGTTTGTAGTGCACACTCAATAAACACATTTTCCTTTCCCTCCTGGGGCACGTTCCTGGCCTCAGATGTGTAGGCCTGACCTCAGGGCTCTCAGAGATCATCCAATGGGATGGTCATTGCAGTGGTGGTCACTTAACTTGGCCAAGGTCAGGAGGAGGCTGTGGACAGCACCTTAGGTGTTTTTTCATTGTCAGTGTCCCCTGTAGCATCTCAGCATCATGCTAGTGGGATGAGAGGGAGCCAGTCTGCCTGCCCACCCCAGGGAGTGGCCCTCTTGGGGTCTCAGCTATACAGGTCAGCAGATGCCAGAGTTCTTGTGTCCAGAGCTGAGGGGGCCATGCAAAACCAAGGCCAGACTGGGGGAAGGTCTAGAAGTGTTATGGACTGAATGTTTGTTTTCCCTAATATGATGTCAAAGCCCTTAACCCCCAATGTGATGGCATTGCAGGCAGGGCCTTGGGAGGTAATTAGGTTTAGATGGGGTCATAAGGGTGGGGCCCTCATGATGGGATTAGTGGCCTTATAAGAAGAGACACCGGAGAGCTTGCTGTGTCTCTCTGCTGTGTGAGGATGCAGCAAGAAGGCAGCCATCTGCAAGCCAGGAAGACAGCCCTCATCAGGAACCAACCATGCTGGCACCCTGATCTTGGACTTTCAGCTTCCAGAACTGTCTGTTGAGAAAATAAATTCGTCTGTTGTTTAATCCACCTGTCTATGGTGTTTTGTTTTAGCAGCCAGAGCAGACTAAGACAGGAGGGGAAGGGCTGTGAGCAAACCCTGGCCTGGGGCTAGACCTGGCCAGGCACTGACTGCCTGAGGGAGCGTGGACCAGCCCTGCCTTCTTAGGGCTACAGTGCCCAAATTTCTCAAATCCAGCCTTGGACCACATGAGCTGAAGATCCATGTACCTCTGAGGATGGGTGACTCTCATCTCGAACCAGTCTTTATGCTGAGCTGTATTTTTAGTAGAGACGGGGTTTCACCATGTTGGTCAGGCTGGTCTCTAACTCCTGACCTTGTGATCCGCTCGCCTCGGCCTCCTAAAGTGCTGGGATTACAGGCGTGAGCCATCACGCCTGGCCCCTTTTGTCACTGCCCCTCTTTACACACAGGGTCCCTGGTGTACCTAAACAAGGGACGTAATTCACAGAGCCTCAGTGTTCCTTCCTGTACACTTGGGATACTGGTGCCCCCACTTAATGGGCTGACTTCGGGAACAAATGAAGTAATGATTACAGAGGACTTAGCATGTGCCTGGCACCAAGGAGGTGCTCAGTAAAGAACAGCTACAGTTATTGTTCTCATGATGTCACCTGGCCAGTGCAGAGGGATGGGGATGGTCACTGCTTGTTCTGGATGCTCTGCTGATGTTGATGAAGCCCAAGAGGACACTGGCTTCCCAAATCACTGCTTGCTGTGGCTGTGGGTGAGCCTCTGATCCTCAGGCCCTGGGATCTTCTCCCAAGAGAAGGGGGTGCATCAGACACCCCTGCCAATGCTCATGCAGCTGGCTATTTGACTCCAAATGCGGTCTGTACACTGGCTCCTTTAGTCCTGTGTGCTCAGAGCTCTGCGAATCTCATGCCTACTTTCTAGAGGGCTGGCTGTCTTTCCCAGCCCCAGCCACCTTGTAGGGGGGCCTGTGCTGCCCTCACCGACCTCAGAAATGTCCAGCAGGCTGGACCCATTGATCCCTCAGCCCACCTCCCCAGCCTGCCCTGTGGCTTGACCCTGGGTCACAGACCAGCTCCTATGTGTGCTGCAAGAATCCCAGAAATCCCATTAGCCCGTGTGTGTCTGTACCTGACTCAGTCCTGCGCACTTTTTCTATCCACATACACCGTCTTGTGCATGTTTCACGGAGCCACAGGATGCCGGAGTCGGCTGGGGTCCTGGAGCCATTTCAGCTGATCCTCCTTTCATTGTAGAAGCCTCATGGACAGTCACCTGAGTGGCGCTTGCAGCTGGCCCAGGAATCTCACTGGGTAAAGGAATGCAGTGAGCTTGGCAGCATCTGCTGTACTGCAGGCTCCTGGTGATTGCCTGTTCAAAAGCAGAGGCATCTGCATGTTCTCACTCATGTGGGAGCTAAACACATTGAACTCATAGAAGTAGAGAGTGGAATACAGGTTACTAGAGACTGGGGAGGGCAGGGGGAGGGAAGATAGGGAGAAGATGGTTAAGGGACACAAAGTTACAGCTGGTTAGAAGGCATAAGTTCTAGTGGTCCAGAGCACTGCAGGGTGACTATAATTAACAACAATTTATTGTATATTTTCAAACAGCTAGAAGAGAGGAATTTGGATGTTCTCAACACAAAGAAATGATGAATGTTTGAGGTGATGGATATGCTAATTACCTGATGTGATCATTACACATTGTACGCATGTATTGAAATATCACTCTGTACCCCATAAATATGTACAATTACTAAACATCAATTTTAAAAAAGGCAGAGGTGTCTACCAATACATTACAAACTGCCCAGAGCTGTCTGGGCATCATCTCAGGACAATCCTGGGCAGTACAGGGAATGACACAGAAAGCAAAGTGAAGCAGGGATTGCTTAGGGAATGTGAAGGACTGGCAGCCAAGCCGGTGCTCTCCTTGTATGTGCTGGGCCTCCCACTACGCACCTGGCTTTTGTGTGGTTCTCTCCACCTCCAGTGCCATCTCCCCAGCCCCAGCCTGGACACTTGAGGTCACTTCCCCGTGTCCCCCTGCCTCTGCCCTTCCCTCCAGGCCATTGTCCATGTAGCAGCCAGAGTTATCTGAAAAATCAACCTAACCACCTCCCTCTCCTGCTGAAACCCTTCAATGGCTCCCCATTGCACTAAGAATCAAATCCAGACCCCTTGCCAGGGCTGCAAGTCCCCAAGGACCCCGACAAAAGCTGAACTTACCTGTGTCTTAGCCGCCACTTCTCTTGACCTCACTGCTCTGGCCACATTGGCCTTTTCCCCATCTCTCCAACAACCCAAGCATGCATCTACCCTGGGGCCTTTGCACATGCTGTTCCTACTATCTGGAAGGCTCTTTGCATGCTGGGCCCCTTCTTGGCCTTTGGCTATGCCTCTGATCTTACCTCCTCAGAGAAGCTCCCCTTGGCTCCAAGTAGGGCCCCTATTACTCTACCAAAATGTTCTTTTCCTTCTTTGTAGGCGTCCTCGTCGGCAATGATGTTATTAATTTATTTGTGAGGGCCATCAGGTTTGTGAGGGCAGAGAAGTGTCTGTCTTGTTTACTGCCAAGTCCCCAGAGCCAAGCCTGGTATGTGGCTGGTTGGAGGTGTTCAGTAAAAGTCCTTGGATGGGCAACAGGATGGAGGGACTCATGGGAACTCTGCTCTCTGCAACCTCTGCATGCTGCTGCTCCTTGTCCGGTGTTCTTTCTCAGGACCACTTGGGGTCGCACAGCTGCATGTATAGCAGCCCTGTCCTGCCCCCTGTAGGTCTGCCTGTGCTAGCCCTTCCCTCCTGGTCAGCTTCTGCACTGAAGATCTTTCTGGCAAGAAAAGATGAGAGCTGATGGCACTGCCTCTCCCTGGTAATGGCTATTTATATGAGGGCTTCCAAGGCCATGTGCAAAGGGGAGAACCACGCTGGAGATGTTTCCAACACTCACTGGCTGGAGTGGGAAAGTTCTGGAGGCCCCATGCCTCTGTATGCCTGAGGTGTGCCTGTGTGGGCGGGAGAGGGTAGTTGGGGGTGAGTGGAGAAGTCGTGCAGAAGAAATAGAAGCTCACCCGGGCTCCAGGTGCTGGCGGTATAAGCTTGTGCACCAGAACTTGGGTTTCTCTTCTCTTCTCCCACCTGGGAATTTTCTGGTGGCTTAGGAGCCCCTCTTCCCCCAGCAGCCTCCATGGGTGAAATGGGGCTGACATGGTCCTGGCCACTGCCTCTTTCTGGCCAGGGCAGGGGAAAGGGTCCCTGGCCGGGAAGGGGAGGAGCTGTTGCAGGTCTAGGGCAGTGAGCCTGACAGCCGTGAGCTTGGCAGGGAGGTATTGCCCACCAGCTCCCACCAGTGCCTCCCTCCGCACTCCAGGAGCTGCTGACCATTGCCTGTCTGTGAGGACATAGCCAGCAGCCACTGCTGCCACCACGCGGGCCTCTGAGGAAGCAGGAGCTGGACCCTTCCTGGTGAGCAGGGGCTAGAAGGGCTTTGAAGCTCTGTAGTTGTACATGCTCAAGCTTTCTTAGGAGAAGCCTGCATGAGTGCAGCCAGGATGGGATCCACTGCTTTAGGCTACTTAGCTCCTGCCAAGAAAATTAACATTGTTAAAGGCAGGACAGCGAGGTCTGTGATGAGTCTCAGTACGCACTGATCGGCACTGGTGAATGCTTCCGGGAGCTCCTGGATGTCAGGTGCAGCCAGCAGGGGCATGCATGTGGCTCTGCCTTGGCCTTGCCCTGGGACGCTGTCACGTGGACGTGCTACGTGCGTGGATGTGCTGGGACTCTTGCATGCCAGTCCAGGCACTGGCACATAGCAGATGGGCCCCCACTCAGCCTTGCCCCTCAGAGCTCCCCAGGGCATCTTCCCGACACCAGGCCCCTGTGGCTGCTGGCCTGCAGGGTCACACCTGTGCTCAGCATTCAAGTCCTCGTGGTCTGGCCTCTGGCCTGGCATCCAGTCTGCTCTCTCCTGGTTGCCTCCACCCATCCACCCTGTGCCGCAGAGCCCCGTCTCATCCCAGTCTCAGTTCTGTACGCTCTTCAGGAGGCCTTTCCTGGCCGCTCTGCTTCCTCTGCCCGGGCCGGGGCCGCCTCATTGCTGTCATGCCATTCATTGTATCTTTGGTGTCTGGCTTCTACATGCACCTTTGAAGTCTGTGAGCACCAGCACCATGAACTCCTCATCTTGGGACTCCCAGGCCTGTACAGGCCTAGGCACATGCAGGGGTGGAGCAAATGTTTGTTGAGTGGCTGCCTGACTGGACCTCTGACAAGTACACACGAGGACCTGCACACACATACTGCATGCACACTTGTGTGTCCCAGAGAGCTCACAGTGCACACCGGCTGTTGGACTGAGACCCCAGTGATAGGTGGTCCAGGGGTCATCTTCCCAGAGAGTCCCTTCCTGGGGGAGCCTGTCTAGATATGCTGGGAGGTCCCCACTGGGACCATGGGGAAGGTGGCCGGGCCTCGCACCCTGTGGCACATAGGGGTTTCTGCCTCTCATGGCCTGTGGGGAAGTTGTGGCCCACGTGTGTGTTTGTCAGAATGCTAAAGCGGACCATCTGAGACTATCACCTCCAGGGAAACCTGCTGTGGGTCTGAAATCACCCTCCATGTGAGTCATAATAATCATGCTGGTGTCAGAAACTCTCATTTGGGCCTAAGCAAAACAGGGATCATTATTAGGCCATGTAATAGAAAAGGCCAGAGGCTGCATCGCTTCAGGCATGGCTGGATCCAAGGCCCAAATGGTATCCACAGGACTCTGCCTCCGTCTCCACACCCCTTGTCCCTGCTCTCTCCTGTGTGGTTTCCTTCCTGGGCAGCCTCCTGCCTGTTGCAGGCTGATGTCTAATGAGCCCAGCCCCCTGGCCACTTGCCCCTGGAAGAGGGGGATTATTTAACAAGAGTCTCACAGGAGTCCCAGGACTTCAGCTCACTGGGCTGGTATGGGGCTGAATCACTTCCTCCCCGAATCAATCCTGGTGCCCAAGGAGTAGAACACCCTGATTGTCAGACTGGTGGGGGCTGCCCAGTCCCTGGACTGAGAGTGAAAGAGGCACGGTAGATGGGGGTGGGGTCACTTGGAGAGGAAGAGAAAGGATGCCGAGACTGCAGCAGTGTCCAGCTGGGGGCTTCTCTGCCACAGGCACTTGGAATGTGGCCTGTCACGTTAAGGGGGGATTGGACTGGGAGCCTCAGGGCAACACCTGGTGACAGTTGTTCCGGAGAGCTCCAGGAGACCCAAACAGTGCTGGCTGGAAAGCTCTTTGGGGACAGGAGAGTAAGGAGGGGAAGGGCCAGGCTTTGAGCTCTGTGGTATGTCCATGGGTGGGTGGGGCAGGGCAGGAGGGTGGGGCTGGGCAGTTAGGGTAGGCTTTCTGGGGTAAGGGACATGTGCCAGCCCGCAGGATGACACCTGTGCTCAGCGTTCACGCAGGGTACCGGGCCTGGGCCTCTCACACATAGCCCTCACTATGTAGCTGCCATGTATGCTCTTGTACCTGGTTTCAGTCTTCCCCAGCCGGGAGGCCTCTCCTTACCCCATGCATACATTGTGGGTGGGGATCTCTGCTTTATTCCTCCCAATAGGCACATTTGTGGGGAACCCTGAGAGCTCCCTCCAGGTTCCAAGGGACAAGGAGGAGTCCTGGGCCAGCAGCCTTGCCCCATCCTCCTGGCCAGCCTCTGTTTATCCTTCTGCCTAGTGGGGCCAATGCCTGGGGCTGCCGTGGACTTCGGGAAGCTGGGCTGCTGCTGGGAGGTGGCTGCCTTATCAGCAAAGGCCTGGCTCCTGCCTCCTGGGCAGCGTCTGCTCCGCTCTGAACGATTAATTGAATAGAAGTCCTAGCACTGTGAGGCAAAGCTAGGGCCCTGCCTAATCTCATTAAGAAGTCCCCTGACAGTCTCATTAGGCGGCTGGCTACTCAGAGACGTTTATCTCTGCTACAGGATGGTCAGGGCCTGGAGGGGGTGGACCTGGGGCCAGGCCCCACCCAGCTGCCCTCCAAACACAGGCCTGGGCAGAGATAAGGCTATGGCAGCTCTGCCAGCCAGCACCAGTCCCTACTTAATCGGTTATGGTTTGCTGGACTTAATTACTTTAAAATTATTAATTTCAGCTGGAGAAAGCAGGTGGTGGTGGTCCAAGAAGAAACGTGAGCCTTCTTAAGGGGTGTAAGGTGGGCTGGGGCGGAGACGGTGTTTCCAGCTGGCAGAACCCATGTGCTGGAGTTGCCCTGGCAGGCCACACCCAGCAGCGTGTCTGGACACTCTGCATACTATGGCCACTAGCTGGGTGTGGCAGGGACAGACGAGTGGCCTAAGAATGTGAAGCATGCTACAAGAGAATGAAGCCTGCCCAGGGGTGTGGGAGCACAGGGGTGGTGCCTAACCTAGCCTGGGCTTGGGGTTAACCAGGGGAGGCTTCCTGGAAGAAGTGACTTCTGAGCTGAGTCTTAAGTGTGGAACAGTGGTTGGTCAGGTGAAGAAAGGGAGGCAGGCACTCCAGGCAGTGGCATAGCTGGAGCTAGGGCTCAGAGGTGAGCTGTCCAGGGTCCCTGGGCATAGATGGAGGAGGTGCTGACATCCTGGCAAAGTCTGCAGGGGCCTTAGGGCTTCCCTCTGGTACAGGCAGAAGTGGCTCAGGACTGAACCCCTGAGCATCAAAGGATCTAGGATGTGGGCCACTGGAGGGGACATCGCTGGGGCTCAGAGCCATGTGCCTCCATCTAGGCCCTTAAGCTGTGAGGAGAGAGGCCTGTGGGGATGGCAGAATTGCACAGGCTAGTCAGCTCCCCCAACCCCTGCCTCTGCAGGCATCTGTGCTCTGGATTCAGGGCCGCTCCCTGAGGATCCCAGGTGCAGCGCGTACCATTCTTGGAGGTTTCAGGACTTCTACATGGCTGAGGCCCATCCCTAAGCCTGGCTTCTGCCTCCCATGGCCACAGATGCCTGGTCTGCCACAGAGAGGGGAGAGGAGGACCAGGCTGCTAGGCTAGCTGGCTTCTCCCTGGATGGGAAGCAGGGCTTAGACCCCCAAATTTGCCCAAGGCCTGGTGGTAGGTCTGATAGACCCAGGCCTCTCTCTTTTCCACCCCAGGGTCCCCTGTTCCTGTCCACCCAAGCTGCACCACTCTGAGTGACTTTATTACATATACTGTTGAGATGGTGCTGGCTTATGACAAGGGTACCTGCATTTCATAACATATGGCAGCTCGAGGCCCCTCCATGCAGACATGAAGATGAAGATGTCTCATGTCAGACATCTGAGATGAAGGCTCATGCACCAGCAGTGGACTTTGGAACATGTGCCAAGGGAAGAGGAAGTGTGAATCAGGGCGGGAGGGAAGGCCAGTCTGATTGGTCACTGCCGTGGGCCACTGGGGCTCATTCCTGCTGGGGCCCTCCAGGGAACCACAAAAAAATGCATCTGGATTGTCCATCCGGGCAGGGAAAGTGGGAGCATTTATCCACCAGCCCACTCCTCACTGGTCAGAGGGACCCGGTGCTGCTCCCTTCCCAGGTATTCCAGGTTTGTGCAGCAGCTTGGCTGGGCAGTTCCCGCCTGGTGCCAGCAGAGAGCCCCCTGCTGAGCAGAGATGAGGGCTGCCCAGGGATGCCCGTATGCAGCCAGTCACCACAGCAACAGGAGGAGAGGTGGCTGAGAGGATGTGACATGGGCCACAAGAGTTGTCTAGAGACCCAAATTCTGCTAGACTTCTTAGAATGACCTAATGGTAAAATTCAGGTGTCAAGACAGGGCTTTCCTGGTGTGTGTAAATTATATCCTACAAGTGTACTTTGGCTCCAAAAGAGGCTGGTATAGGAGGGGCTGTGCTCCATTTCTCCCCAGCACCTGGTGGCATTGCTAGACCACCACGGCCTCAGAGGCAGCACCTGGCTCTTGCTGGTCCCTGCTCCTCCCCTAGCTTCTGGTCCAGTGTGGGGCACATGTGGGCCAGTCTTGGCTGGGGGGAAGGCAGGTGGGATAGGGCGAAGTCTCTGAATCATCTTTGACACTGGACAGTGCTGTGGCTGGGCTGAGTCCCTCTTCTGCCTCTTATTGGCTGTGCGAGTCAGTGCATGTTCCTCTACATATCTGAGCCTCAGTTTCCTCATCTGTAGGATGGGGATACTCACATCTACCTTGAAGAATTGTTTTGAGAGTCTGAAGACATGGTGTGCATACAGTGGGTGCCCATTTGTTCCCTGCCCACATGTCTCTTGAGGGTTGACCCAGTGCCAGCCACTGTGGGCACAGCAGACCCAGGCCCCAGGAATTCAGTCAAGTGTCAGTGCCCAGGCTCCACCCCAGAGAGCCTGATTTAACAAGCTGGGCAAGGGCCCAGGCACTGGTATTCTCTAAGAGCTTCCTGGGTGGTGCCAAGGGGCGGCCAGGGCCAGCCAATGAACGGTGGCCCTTCATGACACAGAGATGGAACGCCAAGGGCCAGGCGTGGCCACGTGCTTTCCCACCCCAGCTCCCAGCAGGTGATTGGCTAGTGGGGGTGCTCTCACTGTTGATTTCCTTCATCACAGCTCTGGACATTCTCCCCCAGTTCAGACTGAAATACACACTTGTGCTGCACAAGGCGGGGTCCCTGGCTGGGCCATGACTGTCATTCTGTCCATCCCCCTGCATGACAGCGATTCTCTCTCATCAGACACAGGGTGCCATGGTTCACTAGGGAGATGTGGGGATTCACGCCTCATTAACTTCAAGGCTGGGATCTCCAGAAAGGATACCCTCTCACACTGGCTGACCACCTCCTTTCCCACCTTGGGGGCCTCAGCCACCAGAGGCTGTGTATGCCCAGCAGAGCTCTGAGCCAACAATGGCTTATGTTCTCTGCAAGGAATATTTCTCTGCAAGGAATATTTCATCTCATTTTATCAGTAATACAGAGCAGTGGAGCGATGGTACCTATGTGTTCTAATTCATAATTTTACAGTAATTTTAGAAAACTCAAGATATTGGGTTTCTTTCCATTAGTGAGATGGTGGCAGGCAGTAAAGCCCACTGTCTTCTTATAATTGGATTTAAATTGTTTTAATTATACAGCCCATATTCTCCCAGTAACATACCATCTCTGTGAGTTAATGGGCTTTGAAATCTTCTTTTGTTCCATACACTGTAGATACAGATTTTTTTGTTAAATGATTTATTTTATATATAGAAATCCAGAAAATTTGCTGTGAGGTAGCTTAAGATGAGAACTGGGAGGTTCTGTTCTGTTAGAAGAAGGTGAATAACCCTCTGCAGAAAACCCAACCCTAATTCCTGGATGGAATTCTGAACATCTCCAAAACAAGGTTTTAAGAGCACAAGTGATGGAGAGTGCTATCAGCAGAGAGAACATTCGTGTGGCTGAAAGGCTGCTGCATAAAGTCCTCTGTTGATCCTTCAGTGGGGATAGTATAAAGGAAATGTCCATTCATTTGTTCATTCATTTCCTGAGTGCCTACTGTGGACTGGCCCTGGCCTTGGGCATATACACCAAGGAACGCCAGGATCTTTATCTTTAAAGAGCCTGTGCTTTTCACAGGAACAAACATTTGTATTTATGACAAATAAGACCTTTCAATGGTCAGCCCTTCTCCGGAATGGGCTGTCGGGCCGGGGCTCACAGCGCACAGGGTTTGCCCACTGCTGGGGCTCCCTCAATGCTGAGGGGTATGCTGCCATGGAGGGGGTAGCTCGCTACCCGACTCAGGCTGCTCCTGGGCAGGGAAGCAGCGTGGGCTCCCTAGGGCTTCCTGGAGGATGGGCCCAGCTGGGCCAAACTTCCTGTTCTCTGGATGTCCCTCAGGCCTGCCCTTCCCACTCCGTCCTGGGGGCATGGCCAGCCCGTGGGTCTCAGTCCCCCTTGGGTATATAACAGGGCCCAGCCAGCCCCTTAACTGGGTTGGGCTATCCCAGTTAGGCCAGCCAAGTTGCCCAAAAGACTTCTGAGGCTTGACAGACCTTGGGTGAGGACATAGTGGAGTGTGTGTGTACTGGGAAAGGAGCTGGGTTCATCTTGATTTCCACCTCACTTCCTTCTTGGTTCTCTGGACCTGGGGTAGAGGCATCACTGGGACCTGGACTTGGACCTGCTGGCTGGCCCAGCACTGCTGTGTGGCCTTTGTGAGCTACAGCCCTCTCTGGTTTCTGACACTGGCTGTGTGCAGCAGTGCCCGCAGCATGAGGGCCGTGTGACCTGCCTATTTGAGTACTCCCCTCTCATCCCTGCTCCTGAACACATGGGGCACTTGGTTTGGAGCCCCCACTGACTGAGGGTCCTTCAACAGTGTGGGAAGTCTCTGCAAAAACTAGGGAGTAAGCAGAGGTGGATGAGGCCCGGAAGGTCACACCAGCCCCTCAGTTGGAGGGGCCCAGGGTGACTCTTCTTTAAAAGCTCCCAGATGAGAACCTCAAGCTCAGGACTTGCTCCCCATCTCACGATAGAACTTCTAGAATTAGTGCCCTAAAAATCCCAATCCCTGGGCTGGGCTTGGAAACTCTGGCACAGAATCCAAGGCAAAGATGCTCCCTGGAAAGTCCCTGAGGCCAGATCCCTAAATTGGGGCTCCACAGACTAAGAACTGCAGGCGCACAGCTCTTGAGCCTGGAAACCCCATTTGGAAGCCACTCGGTCCAGGCCCTTTGAGCCCAGGGCCCCTCTCTGGGCAGACAGGGCTGGGAAGAGGGGCAGAGCTGTGCGTCTACCCCACTGCCCGAGGCACCAACTCCGCAGATGTAAATGCCAGGCTCATAGCAAGAGACTACGTGTTGTGAAATGTGTCCGTGGTTTTGTGACATGTTCTCTCAGTGTGTCTGTTATTTACAGCTGGTGAGGAGGGCCTAGCTCTGGGAGCCGCAGGAGAGGGAGTGCTCAGGCTGAGGGAAAGCCGTGGCCGGGAGCCCTGTGGGGGAGGATGCTCACCCTCACTGGCTGCTGAAAAGCCACCTTTAAGGTCCTTGGTTAAGCATTTCCCTAAGCGGGCCCTTCTGGAAACGTGTGAGGGAGGGGCACCCGCGTAAGTACCCAGGGTCCCACCAGGGCCTCATCCTAGTCCCATCTTCTCCTCCATCCTCCGGGACTGTTTAGTGGGCAGTGCAGGCTCTGGGGCATCCAGAGCTCCCTGTCGGTGGTAGGGTTTTCTTGCTATCTCTAGAAGCACTCTGCTCCCTTTGTTTTTGTGTTTTAGGGGACTAAGTTGAAAGGATGGACCTGGGGGATCAGGGACAGTCCCTGGAGCAGGGGGTTTCTTAAATGAAACCTGAACAATAAGGAGGAGGGAGGATACACAGCATATGCAAACGCCAGAGGCCAAAGGACAAGTGCCCAGGAGGAGGTAAAGACAGAAGGGCGAGTGGGGGTCGGGGAAGGCAGGGCTCCCTCTGAGAGCCAGGGGATTACAGTAGCTAGCCTGGATCTGTCTGCTGTAGGGACTGGACAGACAGGCCCACTGTCAAGGGGGACAGGGTTGGGGGCTGCCTGTGGTCCTTGACTAGGAGGAGGCCTGAGCAGGAGTAGGCTCCTGAGAGGCAGAGTGAAGGCCTTTCTCTTCCTCCCTTGACACCCTCCAGGTGTTTGTCCAGGGCCACCGCCTCCAGGCAGCTTCCCGCTCCAGTCCTCATCCAGTTGCTCTGCTCCCTCTTTGTAGGCCCTGGCTGCCATGGGGACTTCAGCAGGCAGGGCCATCTTGCCTTTTTCCTTCTTCCCTCCTCCCCTTCTAGTTTTTGGTTGTATCAAAGTTATTCATGCAGATAGTTTCAAGAGCCCGTGACTTCTATGGTCTAGAGAAACAGTGACTCCCCTCCCCTGCCTTACTCCCCCGGAGGCCCCTGTGCCCCTGGAGTATTCACCTGCAGAGTTCCCAAGTGCATGCTTGGCTCCACCCCTTGATATTCCCCTTGTGGACGTCTGTATTGGCTTCTTGCCTCAGAGGAGGGGAATTGTGGGCTCTCTCTCCCTCTGTGCCCTGCATCCTGCCCTCTGGGTGGCAGGTCATGACGGTGCTCTGCAGTCTGGTCAGATCCGTGGTGCACGTTTTCTGCATTAGGCCTGTGTCAACACACAGCACAGCCCAGTTAGGGAAGCGTTGCCTTAGCCTTTCCTGTCCGATATTTTGCTTCCCCTGGAGTTGCTGACTGACTTTTTGGTGGTTCGGGGCTTTGCTTGCTATGCATCTCTCCTCATTTCATCCCCGCACTCTCAGCTGGGCGTCTGAGTGTCCCCTTGCTCTGATCCTTGCTCAGCAACTCCTGGGCTTTCCATTCCGCTGCTTGGCTGCTTGACCTTCTCCCCTGGAGCCTCCCAACTGCTGCAAGGGGCACTCTCCCTCATCTGTGAGGCTCACTCTCCCCTCCTCCAGTCCCTGCTGTCTCCGCCTCTGTGAGTTCTTCCCTGGGATCCATGCAGAATTTCACCCTGCTCCCCACCCCACTGCCGCCCCTCCCGTCCTCCTGGTGCTGCCTGTCTTTCTCCGTAGTTCTCATCTCCTTTTAATAGGCCACTTGGCTGGACGATGGGTTAACCTTGTTGTTGCTCGTTCACCTCTATCCCAAGTGGAAGCGTTAGGAGGGCAGGGATTGCTGTCTTTTGGGTCCTCATCTCTAGCGCCGTGCCTTGCATACAGCAGGTGTTCCATCAATGCAGGTTGCATGGAGGACTAAATACCTCTGAGCTGGCTGCCAGACCCCAGACCTTGACACCTCCTCTTGAGGTCACTTTGGTCTGCTGACTCCCAGCCTCCCCACTCTGCTCGTTCCCTCCTTTGCTGTCGTGGGTTCCTCAGAAAGGTGCAGCTGGCCTCCTCACTGCCTGTGAGGCTGCTCACATGGCCATGCCTGAGGGCCGGCTCTAGGTTCTCCTCCCCAGCGGGAGGCAAAGGCCTAAGCTTTCTTCCTCGGTGTGCATCCTGCAGTGTGGTTCTGCCTGCCTAGCCCAGCCACAGGGTGCAGTGGGAACTACCACACCCCTGGGAGCTGCAAGTTAATTAGTGTAGGTGGAGCCAGCACTGGGTAATCACCGAATCCACTCCCCATGGGCAGGCCCGTGCCAATCCCCAGGCTTCCCGCATGGGGCTTTGAGGTGCCCTGGCCTGGCCTCTGCCAGCCTTGGTGGCTTCTCTCACCCCATACCTCCTCCTCCTCCTCCCCTGCCTTCCCTTGCAGCTCAGGAGATGTTTCTCGAAAGTGCAGGATTCCTGGGAGGCTCCTAGGAGATGTCCAGGTGTGGCAGGGCAGAGAGCATTTGTTCACTTCACAGATGTTCACTGGTGTCTTGTTTGGGCCAGGCACCAGGCACTGTGTTGGGTGCTGGGGTTCAGGGTGGACATGGTACGTGGAGCTTGCCTTTGAATTGAGAGAGGAGGTGAGAGATAGCACTTTGGAGGCAGACCAGCTGGATCTGAACCCCAGCTCTGTCACCGACTAGTTTTTGACCTTGAGCAACTTACTGAAGCTCTCTGAGCTTCACTTTCCTCATCTATAAAATGGGGATAAACATAGGCCCTGCCACCCAGGGTATTTGTGTGAATTAAATACCCAGGGTATTTGTGTGAATTAAAATGGGAGCCAGGCGCGGTGGCTCACACCTGTAATCCTAGCACTTTGGGAGGCCGAGGCAGGCGGATCACTTGAGGTCAGGAGTTCAAGATCAGCCTGACCAACATGGCGAAACCCTGTCTCTACTAAAAACACAAAAATTATCTGGGTGTGGTGGTGTGCACCTGTAATCTCAGCTACTCGGGAGGCTGAGGCAGGAGAACTGTTTGAACCCGGGAGGCGGAGGTTGCATTGAGCCGAGATTGCGCCACTGAACTCCAGCCTGGGGGATAGAGCGAGACTCCCCCCTCCCCTGGGGGGCTGTTACTGTGGACTCTTAGGTGGGAGGGACCAGCAAGTTTCCCAAATGAATTCCAGCTGTGGTTTCTTCGGTTGTACAGGACAAAGATCCAATTCACCCTGGCCTTTGCCAAAAGGGGATTCAGGGCAGGCTGGATTCGGGGCTGTAGAGTATCTCTTTGTGGCTCTGCTTGACTTCATTTTGTACAGGCTCCTTCCACGTCATCCACTATTCGGGCTTAGCAAAAATGGCAGAGAAAAGACCACATTCCCTTTCCACTCGAGGGGAAAGAGGTCTTCAGAGGACTCTGATTGGCCCACCCTGGTTCATGTGCTTATCCATGAACCAATCAGTGCAACAAGGGAATGGATATCCTGATTGGCCCAGCCTGGGTCATGTGCCTATCCATGAACCAATGAGTGTTACCAGGGATGGGAGTATCCTGACGGGCACAGCCTGGGTCATGTGCCCATCCAAGAGCCAATCAGTGTTATCAGGGAGGAGTATTTTCATTGGCCAGCCCAAGCCACGTGTCTCACTTCTTTCCAAAACCAGGTGGAATTAGAAAGAAGTTCCAGGCCAGGTACGGTGGCTCACGCCTGTAATCCCAGCACTTCGGGAGGCCGAGGCAGATGGATCACCTGAGGTCAGGGGTTTGAGACCAGCCTGGCCAACATGGCGAAACCCTGTCTCTACTAATAATACAAAAATTAGCCGGGTGTGGTGGCGGGCGCCTGTAATCCCAGCTACTCGGGAGGCTGAGGCAGGAGAATCACTTGAACCTGGGAGACCGAGGTTTCAGTGAGCCGAGATCATGTCACTGCACTCCAGCCTGGGGGATAGAGCAAGACTCCATCTCAAAAAAAAAAAAAAAAAAAAAAAAAAAGTTCCCAAAGGGAAGAGAAAGGCTGTTAGCAGGATAAGGTGAGCAAATAAACTGCGCTGGACATTCAGAACTGTAACTTCCAGGCCACCACGAGGAGCAGTTCTTCCTTGGTGGCTGTAGACATTGACCTCTGGGGTTCTCCCTTGTGGTTTTCAGGCTGTCTAGGCCACCCCTACTGATGGGAGTTCCCCGATTTCAGGACGTGGGAGGGTCAGTGCCTCCCCGAGTGCTGGCTTTCTGTGGTGTTGTAGCTGGGGCCCAGTGTGGTTGGAAGCTGTCTGCCCCTTACAGGATGGTGTCCCTGTGGGAAGGCCCGGGCTACAGACTCCTGAGCGCACAAAGTCAAGGATCAAAGCCTCCCAGCTCCTGCCTGGGGCGGCACAGCCACTCTCCCAGGCAGCCTTTGGTCCTGTCCTGCCTACATGCAGGTTGGAGTGGCCGGTGGGCTCGTGGGGGGCCTCCCTAACAGGGGATGGGCTGCGTTCCTGCTGGCTGGCTTGTGGTTAGTGTTGTTCGATGAGTCGGTCAGATAGAGAGTGGGCCAGGCTGGCCGGGCACCGTGGCTTATGCCTGTAATCCCAGCATTTTGGGAGGCCGAGACGGGCGGATCACGAGGTCAGGAGATCGAGACCATCCTGGCTAACACGGTGAAACCCCGCCTCTACTAAAAAAAAAAAACTGCAAAAAACTAGCCATCCTGGTGGCGGGCGCCTGTAGTCCCAGCTACTCGGGAGGCTGAGGCAGGAGAATGGCGTGAACCCAGGAGGCAGAGCTTGCAGTGAGCCGAGATCGCGCCACTGCACTCCAGCCTGGGCGACAGAGCGAGACTCCGTCTCAAAAAAAAAAAAAATAGTGGGCCAGGCAGTCAGCAGGGCTCAGGGTCTTTCTGGAAATGCCTACAGATGAGTGGGCGACGCTTACATGAAATAACACAACTGTCAGAAACAATTTATAGCCATGTTCCCATGGAGCCAGGTCTGGTTATGACTCTGCGTGTTGCCTTCTGGCAAATGAGGTTTGTCACCTAATCATTGCGCTTTAGTACCTGATATGAAAACCAGCCCTGGAGCCTACTGGGTGGGGACACCACGGGGTTCCAGGCACCCAGAGGACGGCAGGGGTATGGGGAGGTGTGGACCGGGTGATGGTGGGAAACAGCGTTAATTGTCACCGTGGAGGAGGCCGGGTTGTGGACATACACTTGTATTTCTTCTTCAGCTGCCTGCTTGGGCTCTAGAGGAGACCCGGAGCTCAGGGTGCCACTGCTGCAAGGAGCACTGACATCCTTAGAGGCCCCCACTCCCAGCCTTCTGTTTCCTGGATGTCACGGTTCTTCCATTCCATCATGAAATCCTGTCCAATTCCTAAGCGTGTGCTTGGCCAGGGGCTGGGGATTACAGTGATCAGCCTTTAGCCTCTGCCTCTGCCATTGTGCACCCTATTAGTGTTTCTATGTGTTATTGTGTACATTTTATTGCAAACACTGTGAAACAATCTCCTTCTTAGACACAACACTGGACAAGTAAGTCCAGTGATCAGACTCCTAGGAGAGCAACCTGGAGTTGTCTGTGATAGAGACACAGCCTTCAGAAAGGTGGAGTGGAGCAGCCCCTGCCGCCCTTCTGTCTTCAATGTTTGGGATCAACAGGTGTGATGTTCATGTGACTCCTGGATTCCTGCCCCTTCACTGGCTGGTTAGGCCCCATGGAAACCATACTCAGCTGGACTAGGGTGAGAGGGCCCCTCTAAGGGTTTACCCTGTGTTGGGACCAGGCCAGGTTCCTGCATACCCAGTCCCTTCACAGTCTACCCAGTTGTGGGGCAGGTTGGAGAGGGGTTCTTTCATGAGCTTTAGAGAAGTGGCCATGGGAAGTGTGAGGAGTTTGAAAGAGTCAGATACTTTCAGAGTGTTGTCCCAGCTCTCCCCTCCATGGCCATTGGCTGGGCATCTCTTCATATAGCTCTCAGCTGTTTGTCAAGGGCCTGCTGTGTGGAGGTCTCCATGCTGGATGCAGGGGATATAGCAGTGAATGAGAGAGACCTCATGAGTGTGTTTCTTCATATCTAAAATAGGGACAGCAATGGCCACTTTCCAGGCTGGGGAAGAATAGAGCAGTATGTCCCAGATTGAATTCTGTACAACTGATTTTACTGAATATTGCAGGAGAAAACAGCCTCTGTGGCCAAATACATATGACCCAGCCAGATGCTTCTCTTGAGGACATCACCACATACATCAGCATATTTAAGGCTCTGAGAAGTCCTGCAGTAAAGAAGCCCATTAACTTTTGTGAGCTCAGTGTTTGCAGGCTCAGTTGAACATGGAACTTTATTTGGCAGAGCACCTATTAACATCCTGTGTAATTAGTGCTTTGCAAAGCCCATTTTGGAAATGCCAAGGCAGCATAGGTAAAATACCCCACAGAGTGCCCAGCACCTGGGAGGTACTCAATAACTGTGAGTCTTTCCCCCACCTGGCATCCTGGAGGAGGCAGAGGGATAAGGCAGCCCTGGCTGGCTGCAAATCAACTCGGAGGAGCCGACAGTAGCTAACACTCTGGTTTTAATGGTTATAGCAATGAAAGTCTAAGTGAGTTTAATTTTAAAAGGCAAGGAGTGATTTCCCCTATGCTCTGCCAAAATGGGACTTCATAAATATTACAGCAGGATGTGCTAGGTGGTGGGCATATCTCCTGGTTGAGCAAAATCTCTGCAAAGCACCATGCAGCAGCAAATGGCTCCTCCCAAACCACACTCCTATTCTTGTTTAGCAGGACATGCCACTTGACAGGTTTACCTGCCAGCACCGCTGGCTGGCCAGGAGATGGCAGTGGATTTAACAGGCCTGTGTTCTGGAAGTGGGGAGGGACTGAGGCTGTGGGAGGGCTCTGCAGACCCGGCCACATCCTCAGCCTCCCAACCATGGTCCATTATCAGGGAGCCTCGGTTTCCTCCTCTGGAACATGGGGATGATTATGCCCAGCATTGTGTGTGCCTTGAAGTAGGGACTGCATTTTTCTCCCCTATGTCCCCAGAACCCAGCACAGATGAAAGTCAGAATTGGGTTTTGAAGGATGAGTAGGAGTTTCTTATGCATACAGTAGAAGAAGGGCATTTAGACAGATAGCCCTAAATGCCTTTCTTCTACTTCAGGTAAAAAGGTGTGGAGGCCTGAAAAAGTCTGACATGTGACACGAACCATAACCAGGCAAGGAGCGTTAGTCATAATTGAGCAAGTGACAGAAAACCCTTTTCACTTGGGTTGCTTAGGGCAACCTTGGGGATCTGCTTTCTGTGCCAGAAGAGACACCTGGAAGGAAAGCATGGTGCATGCGGAGACAAAGGCGATCCCCACCCCCATCCACTCTGGGAACTGCTTCACTTCATCTAGACAGCCAGCAGCAGCAGTAAATGAGGGAGATGGAACGTGTTATTTTAATTATATACTCTCACCACCTAATTATAATTTTAATTGATATGTGAGCAGGTGCTATGCTCTTCAAAGCAGTTTAAGGCAGGCATAGTCCCCGGAAATGGAACACAGTTTGTTCTATTCATTAGTCAAGCAGATGGATAGGCCAGGGGACTAGGGGGCCAGGTGTGGGGAGGCAGCCTTTGCCATGAGTGATGTAGGAGGTGAGGGGCTTCCCCTGGCCAGGCAGCGCACAGCTTGAGGGAAGAGGAGAGAAGGGAGGGGGTGGCGGCTGGCATCTAGTGCTAGTGGGTTGATTCATTTATTCATTCAGCTATGCAGTTGACCCTTAAACAGCATTGGTTTGAACTGTGTAGGTCCATTTACACAAGGATTTTCTTTCTCCTCTCCCAACCCTGAGATAGCATAACCAGCCCCTCTTATTCCTCCCCCTCAGCCTACTCAATGTGAAGACAACAAGAATGATGATCTTTATGATGATCCACTTCCACTTAATAGTGGAATAGTAAATATACTTTCCCTCTTCCTTATGATTCTTTTCTCTAGTTTATTGTAAGAATACAGTATATAATACATTCAACATGCACAAATATGTGTTAATAGACTGTTTATGGTATCAGTAAGGCTTCCGGTCAACAGTGGGTTATTAGTAGTTAAGTTTTTAGGGAGTCAAAAGTTGTACTCAAATTTTTGACTGCATGAGGGGTCAGCGCCCCAACCTCTCATTGTTCAAGTGTCAACTGTACTTTCAACAAACATTTGTTCACAGCTTGCTGCAAGGCAGGCTCTCTGCTAAATGCAGGGGATTCCAGGATGGCTCCAGCACAACTCCTTTCCTCAAAATGTTCCCAGTCTAGTGGGGAAAGTATAGATATGGAAACAAATATTTATAGTTCATGGAATAAATGGGAAATTATCCTAGAAGCAGCATAGACTGGCAGGAAAGTTTTGCTCTCTAGTGAAGTTAGGGAAGGCTTCCTGAAAGACACTTTAGTTGGGGTTTTGAAATGTGGATAGGAGTTGACCAGGTTGCCTAAGATGAGAGATAAGAGATGGTGGTGGGAGATGGCATTCTAAGCAGAGATGAGAAACCTCCATCTGTGGGGTGTGCAGGGAGTGCCTGGTGGTTTGCTGGAGCACTGGCCTGATGGGAGATTTGGTAGAAGATGAGGCTGGAGGTTTGAGTGGTAGGTGGGTCTCCCAGGAGCAGGAGCTGGACCTCATACTGATAGCAGAGAGGAGCTGGAAGGATTTGAAGCTGGGGGTGATGTGATGGGTTTGTGTTTCTGGGAGGCCACCCTGGTGGAAGGTGGGCTGGACAGGCTGATGGTGCAGCCAGGCGGAGAAGCGAGGAGGGGCTGTGTGAAGGTCAGAGCAGGAGCTTGGAGGTTGGCTTCTGGGTATTGGAGTGAGGGAAGGGGAAGATCAGGGTGAAGGTCACGTCTACGCTTGGGCCTCAGGGAGGCCATCTTTGAGATGAGGAGTCAGGGAGGAGCAGGGGAAGATGTGAGGTCGGTGTAGACCATGGAGTTTGGGGTACTTGGGGGACCTGGGTGAAGCCTCAGGAGGAGAGGGGTGTGCTGGAGGCATCACTTCGGGAGTCACTGTGGGAAGGCAGGGAAGGAAGCCCCAGAGGGGATGAGGCAGGGGCCTGGGACACAGTGTCAATTCCAGGGAGCTGAGTTCAAGTGGGAGTTTGGCTTTTAGGAGGCTTATTGGGGGTGACATTGGGATCTTCACCTGGGGAAGGCAGGGAAAGGAGTCAGGCCAGGCAGGACACAAGCCAAGGGGTGAGAGGCCATCCCAGGGGAAGCCCCAGCAGACCCCTGGGAGCTCTGAGGCTGAGTGGCCCTTCAGAGGCGTTCTGAGCTGCAGGGAGAGGGTTGGACCCTTCATACCTCATGCCGCTGAATCCTAGGGGGTCCGTCTAGAATTCTCCTTCAGGAATGCATCCTCTTCCTCTCCAGGGGCTGTTCTTGCCCTCCCTTCACCGTCCTGGGGCAGCCCCCTCCTCCAGCAGGAAGTTGGCCTGGATTCTGGAGGGGTCAAGGAGGGGCTGTTAGGAAGCCAATCCAGCCATGGGGGTGGAGAGGCCAGGGACGGCCCCTCTGGGCCCCACCCTGCCATTGGCCAGCTGCATGACCTCGGGGAAGTCACCCCTGGCCTGGACTCGGGGTTTCCCATCTCTGAAATGAATGGTCTCACATTGGCAGGTGCTGTGGTGTTGCAGGCGTGCCCTGAGCCCTGCAGCCTCCGTCTGGTCTGTCCTGACTGTCGGTTTCTGCTTTCTGTGTCATTCCTGTCCAACAGGATGGCCAGTGTCTCAGGCAGTAGGCCCGTGTCTGATACATCTCTGCACACCATACAGTTCCCAGTCTGACCTGGCAGAGACAGCGGCTGGATGCTCATCACTGGAGAATAGGCAGTGGCTTTGCTTTTACTGAGCGCTTGTTCTGTGCCAGACCAGTTACTAGCAGTAGGTGTATGTTTCTCATGGCAACTTGTCTGCAGATGAGGAAATGGAAACTCAGACACTTGGTACCTGCCCCAGGGACCAGAACTGGGATAGAAGTGACTGCTGAGCTGGGGACCCAGGCTTGGTGACCCCAAAGTCTGAACTCTTTCTGTTCCCCCTGCTCCTGGGGTCCCAAGTCAGTGTTTTGGGGAGACTAGGAGTCTCTGTCTCTCCAGCCCTGTCCAGTGGAGGGCACTGGTGGAATGTCTGGCACTGTGTTGACTCCAGCCCTCCAGCTTCCAATGGGGTTGTGGGCACTTTGTACACCTTGTGGAGAGGGTGGGGGCATCACAATTGCTACCAAGCCCACATACTGCTCTGGGCCACCCCCTTGGCTGCACACGGAGCTGCTCAGGCTCAGCAGGTAGTGGCCTCCCTGGGTAGTTGGGGAAGGGGGGCTCTGCAGGCTGGGAGGCCCTGTCAGGACGGCTCTGTGTGCCTCCTGCCCCAGCCAGGGCTGTCTAGCATGGGAGTCCAAGGCTGGAATGCCCAGTGAGAACCTAGGAGCCACTTAAAGAGGCCATGATACTCTGGGCGGCTGGCAGAGAGGTGAGGGATGGGGGAAAGGTGGAATTAGCAACACATCCCGTGGGCCAGGCCAAGCCAGCAGCTCTACATGGGTGACGATGATCAGCGATGGGCTTCCAGATGCCTCCTGCATGTGCCATCCCTGCCACAGCCTCCCTGGATTGTTTATGGTGGGACCCTGGTGGCCCTTCTCTCATGGTGTTCCTGGGGAGGCCTGGGGCATGCAGCCTGCCCTTCCTGTTCCTTCCTTGCTCACTAGTCCTGGCCTCCAGGCCCTCCTGCCCCTTGGCTGCGGGAACTTGCTGTGGTCCCCTAGCTCTCTGAGGCTAAGCTCCTGCAAGGTGACGTCTGTGAGATGAGCCATCACCTGCCAGGGCAGTTGTACCAGGTCTGTGGTGTGCCCATGTGCAGCGGGCTTCCTGGACGTGCTGCTCCTGTCTTATGTGGCTTGTATTTGCCAGGAAACCTACTTCCCTCGGCATCTGGCCTCACCTGAGATTTGCTGTGAGCCACACCAGGATTATTTTCTAGCTTCTCCTCTTCCTGGCTATGTGGCCTCACACAAAGTATGAAGGTGATCTTGGCCTCTACTTGCTGCTCGGCGCTGTGGGGACGGATCCTGATGGCAGCCTGTGGTTGGGGCAAGAACGGGGTGAGATGCTGTTCCCGGTGCTTGGTCAGGGCTTGGAAATGGGCGCATCCACCATCAATGTGACTGTGCAGTCTCCAGGGGTCTGCTCCTGGCCATCTGTCTTGAGCCCTGGGCTGTGGGTGGGCTTGCTGGAGGGGAACTGAAAGAGGGAAACGTGTCCAGCCCTGGTGGCATTGCCAGCCTGCTGGACCCAGCGTCCAAACTTGTGGGGTGGCCAGGACCTCCTGCCTTCTGCAGAGGCCTCCTTTGCCTGCCTGAGGAGCTTGAGGGGAGAGGAGCCCCAAGGAAGGCTGGTAAGAAGGTAGGGAGGAAGGGAAATTGGCGCACTGCAAGAGGGAAGGGTGTGAACCACCCCCGAGATGGGAATGGTGAGTCTGGGGTCAGCAGGAAGGGCTGAGGCCCTCCCCGGGGCTGGGGATGCAGAGGAAACAGAGATGCGCTCCTGCCCTGGGGGAGTCACGGTCTCGTCCATGATACAGGCCCTGATGCCTGACGCTACTGGGATGGGGGAGGGGAAGGACTTTGTGGGGAGGCAATGAGGGGAGGAAAGTCCTGCTGGCTAGCTCAGCATGCAGGGAGGGAGCCCATCCTCGAGATCAGAGTGTGGGAAGTGGCACAGGAGCTGAGGAGAGGGCTGTGGTGGTCAGTATCTGGGGTGGGTCATGCTTGGCCTCACAGGCTGGCCTGGAAGGGCACCAGTGATGCCAAACTGTGATGTGGCCTGGTTTGCTTCAAGGGAGGTGGCCACCTCCAACTTCATAAGGAAGATCCAGGCTCTGGGTCCTTGGGGTTGGATTCTGAGTTGTCCAGAGCATGAGCAGGGGTAGACTGGCAGGCCAATTTGAGCAGAGACCCCCAGCAGGGCCCTTCTGCTGAGACTTTGTGTCTGGGACCTCTGGGTTCTGCCAGTTGGCTGGTTGGGGGTCAGGGGTCAGTCAGTGAGTGTGGACCAGGGGATGGTCACAGAAGGTAGCATATATGTTCAGAAAGGTCATTTGGGTCATTCTCTCATTGCCAGCTGAGGGAGTCTGCACACTCGGCCCACCCCTATCCTTTCACCAGTAGGCAGGGGGCTCCTTGCCAAAGCCCTTCTCAGGCTCTGGTCCATGGACATCAGCGGGCCCCCTTCCTCCTGGCTTCCATGGAGGCATATTGGGGTATTCACCCAGTAACCACATGGGCTGTAGACATCTGGCTAGTTGGGGTTGGCGGTTGTTTGTAACCACAGCATGTTCACTTGCCTTGGAGGGCCCTAGAGGAGGGCCCATGGTATGACAGCTGGGGAGAGGCAGCCTGGCCAAGGCAACCTTGTGGACCCTGCAGCAGGCAGCATGCATGTCTGTGGTCAGCGGGGCTGGCCAGGGCAAGGGAACCAGGCAGCCGCTTTATCACTTTACATTAGAGGGCTCGGGAGGGATGCCCTGAAGCTGTCCCTGCATGTGGGAGGCAATGCTGGCGGATATTTGTCTCACACCCCTGCTTCTTTCTCTGAGCCAGGGCTTTGCTTTCCTCCTGGCCTTCTTGGATATGGTCACCCAGCCCATAGTGACAGGGCTTTTGGGCTTGAAAGACACTCAGTCCTTATAGCCTTGGGTGTCCCCAGTTCAGCCCTCAAAATCCCAGGTCTTGGACTTACTCTCTTGTCAAGTGCTATACAGGGAGGTAGAGGCTGGGGGTGGGGTGACCCGGGGGTCCTGGGAGGGCCTTAGAGCTAAAGGGCCTCATGCAGAGTCCCCAAGTCCTGGGAGTCTCACAGCTTACAGGAAAGGTGAGTCTGAGCATGTTGGTGGGGGTGGAGGGGGGAACGGGGTTCTTGCCAAGCACACATAGAGTTCCAAGGCTCACTCTTGACCTGTGAATCATTTCTGGGGATGTGAGATAATCTATAGGGAACCTCTCCTTAATGGAGAGTGGGGCACCAGCCAGCTGCACATAAAAGTGCTTCCTGAATTTTTCTGATTGTAAAAGCAATATGCGAGGATCACGGAAAAATGAGGACATGCGGAAAAGCCCATGAAAGTGCTTCGGTACCTGGCAAGATAAATGCTGCCAGGAACCCAGCCATGCAGAGCACCGCTGCTCATGGCTTCCAGCCTCTCCTCTTGCAGACTTCTTCACATGGCTGAGCGCATACCATTCACTCAATTTTGTCTTCAGCCTTCAACTTTAACACTTTTATTTCTTTAAATGTCACAAATAATACACAAACACATCTCATTATGAAAGACTGAAGAAATAATTAAAAGAAACAAAAGGCCCGTTTCCTGCCTCAGAGGGAAAACTGAAATCAGCTTGCTCTATATTCCAGCAGAACTTTCCCTCTGTGTTTACATTTAGAGAAATGTAACCTACACACATAACAGAATAAGGAGTTTTGCTTTCTTTTTGTGTGTTTTGTATATATAAATAATGCTGACTACACCTATTTACTGCACTTGCTTCTTTTCATGCACCAATGTCTTGGTGAGCTTGCTGTGCTATTTCATATAAATCCACCACATTTCAAACAGAGTTTCATGACATACATGAAACTGTGAATACATATTTAACAGATACCCCCCCTTAATAGATAGTTAGGTTGTTTTTAATTTGCACAATAACAAACCATATTGTCATGGAAATCCTTATATATGCCTATGTATCTAGGTGGACTCTAAGTTGTGGAATTGCTTGTCTGAATAACATGCACATTTAATTTAAAAATGGCTTCTGCCAAATTGTCTTCCAGAAAGTGGAATCAATTTGCACACCCAGCGACAGGGTAAGAAGAGCACCCACTTTTTCACATTCTTGCCAACACTTGATATTATCAGTCTTAATTTTTGTCAGTCCAATGGCTGATAGGCGGTACCTCATTGTTATTTTCTTTTCCATTTCCCTAATTACTGTGAGCCTTCTCTTCTACCTAACACATGCAGTTCTAGCAGATCTTGTTAACAGAAATATCATCTTGTTTAATTTATTTATCCTAAGAGTTCACTGCAAACACAATTAACAATGGCATTCTTCTCCAGTAAGATACAGCATTTAATGAGCTCAGTGATAAAACTTCCGAAAGAGCAGTATATAGGTGTCCATGACTCAATATTGGCATTGATTGATTGTGAGTGCTATTGTTCTCATGTGGGTTTGCTCTGCTTTTTGGCTGCTTGGGGAAATTCTTTAAGATGCTGTTGTCCAATGGTGGGGTCTCTGGCAGTGGGCAGAGTAAAGTCTGCCGTCCTGATGAGGGCATGCTGGGTAGAGATAACTAATATATAACCAGTGTTACAGCAAGACCCTTGGATCCTCTAAGCAGTGGGATTTTAGGCTCCATATCTAACTCAAAATAACAACAGCAGTAAACTATAGCATAAATGTAAGGATGTCCAACAAAGGTGTTCATTTTCGCAGGATGACTTACTTTGAAATCAAATTCTTTTTGTTGTTGTTTTTGAGATGGAGTGTTGCTCTGTCGCCCAGGCTGGAATGCAGTGGTGCAATCTCGGCTCACTGCAACCTCTGCCTCCTGGGTTCCAGTGATTCTCCTGCCTCACCCTCCCAAGTAGCTGGAATTACAGTCGCTGCCACCATGTCTGGCTAATTTTTGTTTTTTTAAGTAAACACAGGGTTTCACCATGTTGGCCAGGCTGGTCTCGAACTCCTGACCTCAGGTCATCCACCCGCCTCGGCCTCCTGAAGTACTGGGATTACAGGTGCGAACCATTGCGCCTGGCCAAAATAAAATTCTTTTAAAAATGTGTTCTTGTTTTAGGGCCCCACTTGGCTGGTTTCCTCCTGGGTAACCTGGCACCTGCTCCACTCTTGTCTCCAATTTACCACGTGATGTGCCCACAGCTGTGGCCCACACCTCCGACATTATGTGCATCCATGGGACTTCAGCTCCCTGATTATTGCAACCTGGCACCATTTGCTTGGTCCAACAGTACTCCATTGCTTCTCTTCCAATGGCAAATTGTTCTTCTCTTTATTTGATGCTCTTTGGTCTCTCTATGGCTTTAAATTTTAATTTTGGTCTTATGGACGATTTGAGCTGCCTTCTACTTTTTCATTAAAGTTTCCCTCCGATTTTTCAGAATTTGTTCATGTGGTTCAGACCGTTTTACCCTTCTTCAAACTTTCATACATTTGATTAGGTAAATAAGTGCTCAGTAAACACATGCAATTCTTGTGAGTAGACACTAGCTACTTCTCATCCACTACTGTTGGCAATTATACATGAAAATATATGTCTGTCAGTGGGTGCTTTGAATACATAGATAAGGCAGGAGCTCCCATCTTCATAATATGAACAGTTACCAACCCGGGGCATAGTGTGTCTCCCCATTTATTTTGGGTCTCTTTAATGCTTTTAGTAAAGTTGTATGTTTTTCTTTGTGTAGGTCCTGCCCATTTCTTACTAGGTTTATCCCCAGGGATTTTATTGATTTTATTTCTAATACAAATGAGCTTTCTTTTAGATTACATTTTCTAATTGGGAGTGCTCCCATACACGAAAGCTATTGATTTTTGCATATTGATTTTATATCCTTGAGTTTTGCTGAACTCTTGTATGAGTTCCAATAGTTTATTAGTTAATTCTCTTGGAGTTCATAGGTAGATACCTATATTTGCTACAAATTATGTCAATTTTGTCTGTCCTTTTTCAACACTTGTCCATATTTCTTTTTCAGGTGCTGTCACGTTGTCTGGGACAATGCTAAATATTTTTAGTGGTAGAACATTCTACAGTTTCCCAGTTAAGTGTGATGCTTGTTGTAGGTTTCTAGGAGATGTCCTTTATCAGGTTAGGGTTGTTACTTTTGATCCCTAGTTTACCAAGAATTTTACAAAGAGTATGATTTTAGCCACATTCCAATAGGTGCTCAATTCAAATTAATTTCTGAATAGTTTGAAATTTCTCTTGTTATGTTCTTTTAAGCCAGCAGGTATAAAAAAGAATGTTTTAAGTGTTCTAAGTAGATAGATTGGGAAGGAGGTTTCTTTTATTGTTAATTCCTGGTCTTATTGCATTGGACTTCATTAATGCACAATGAATTTTTGAATACCTTTTTCTTAAGGATTTTACTGAGATTTATACTGTGGAAAGTTGGGTGTACATGGAAGACTGTGCTGTCTCTTTTGGGTCTCGAGAGGGAGCATAAGTGGAGGTTGAGTGTACGGGCTTTGGGGCCAGTTCCTGACTGGAACCCTAGCCCTGCCTCCTGCTGGCCGCAGGATGGTGAGTGAGTTGCTGGAAATCAGTTTCATTGTGTACAATGCGTGGGACAGTAGTGCCTACTTCATGGTAGTGTGTAAGGATGATATTAGTTAATATATGCAGAACTTTAAACCAGAACTTAGAATGTAAGTATTTAATACAATATTGTTAGGTAAACGTATACAAGTGAGATGTGCAAATCTTTCATATTATTTTTTGCTCACTGAATCTGAAAGAAAAATGTTAAAATCATCTTTAAGATTGTGGATTGGTTGGTTTCCCCTTCAATTATTGTTAATTTTGCCTTATCTATTTTGAAGCTGTGTTGCAAGGTTCATATAGTGTCATGACTTATATTTTTGGTGTAGATGGTGTCTTTTATCAAAATGAACTCTCCCTGTTCCTTTGAGTGCTTCCACCTTGAATTCTATTTTGTCTGATAAACAGCCCCTTTTTCTGGTTATTTTTTGCTAGGTGTTGTTTTTCTCATCCTATTATCTTGAACCTTCCTGGGTGTTTGTTTTGTATCTTTTGTAAAAAGTTATGTCAAAAAAAAAAGTTATGTCATGATGAAAAAAATCTCATTTTTTTTTGAAGATTTTATTAGCATAACTTAATCTATTTACTTTTATTGAGATGATTGATATGCCTGGACTTTTCCTTGCCATTTTATTTTGTGTTTCTTGTTTGCTATGCTTTCTTGTGCTACTTTTGCCCTTTCCTGCCTTTTATTGAATCAACTGTGTTTTCTTTGTCCAGGTTTTTGTTCCTTAAAGCAGTTTTCTCAACAGCGGCCCTGTGTCCTTTGGGTGGGACTGTTCCTTGGGCTGTGGGAGTCTTTGCTGCACCACAGGGCGTTTGGCATCCCTCACCCTGGACACTAAGCTACAGCAGACTCCAACCGTCTTGTGACAACCAAAAAGTCCCCTCCCCCTTTCTCCCAGTGGAGAGCCATCCACTAAGGGTTCAATAATACATTACATGTTTGTTTTTCTAGTGACTGCTTATATGTTAAAGATACCTTTATGTTTACACGTGTCTCTCAACGTATAATCAGTGTCTCCTGGAACAAATTGAGACCTTTCTATGCCTCAATGTCCTTCTGCCCCGAGCTGTATCACTACCTAACATGAGGCCAGCTGGGATTTTAGTTCCAAATTTTAATAGTTAATAAAAACCAATTTTTTTTTTTTGAGATGAGTCTCACTCTGTCACCCAGGCTGGAGTGCAGTGGCACAATTTCGGCTCACTGCAATCTCTGCGTCCTGGGTTCAAGCGATTCTCCTGCCTAAGCCTCCTGAGTAGCTGGGACCACAGGTGTGCACCACCATGCCCAGCTAATTTTTGTAATTTTAGTAGAGATGGGGTTTCACCATGTTGGCTGGGCTGGTCTCAAACTCCTGACCTCAAGTGACTCGCCCACCTTGGCCTCCCGAAGTGCTGGGATTACAGGTGTGAGCCACCATGCTGGGCCTCAATAAAGTTTTAATGATAAGTTTTAGTTTTTTCTCACTACTGCTTTTGCATTCCACATTATGTTCTTTGATTCATTTTTAAAAATTGTGGTAAAATGCACATCACATGATTTTAACCATTTTAAAGTATACACTTCAGTGACTTCCAGTACATTCCGATGTTGTGCAACCATTGCCACTACCTAATTCCAGAACATTTTCATTATCCTGAGAAGAGACCCTGTACCCATTGAGCAGTCACTCCAATTTCCACTCCCCCGGCCGCTGGCAGCCACTCACTTCTCTGCTCTCTGGATTCATTTTTGTGGTTGCTGGAGCATACCGTTTGGTAATTCTTTCCAAGAGGGTTTGTGGTGGTGAATTTTCTGTATCTTCACATTTCTGAAAATGCCTGTTTCCTTCCTAAAAGCTGAGTAGAGAATTTAAGGTTTATGCCATTTCTCTCCTAAGCTCTTTGGAGATATTGTTTCATTGACTTGTATGCATCCATGTCCTCAGGAACAGTGACTGCTAAGTCAAATACAGTGTGTGCTCTGCACCAGTGCTTTATACATAGTAAGTCATTTAATTCTGCTGACAACTCTGTGAGGTCGGGGCTGCTCCCCACTTAACAGGCAGAGAAAGTGAGGCTGAGTGAAGAGAAGCCCCACATCCCTTCAGCTAGGAAAGAGGCCACCCCGGCTCTCGAGAAGTTGCCATCTACTGCTGCAGCTTCTGCTCCTCTGTAGGCAGGCTGTGTTGTTTTCTGGGATAATTTGGCATTTTTCCTTTCTCCCTTTGATTTTTATGTTTTCTTTTTCATATAGAGTCTTGCTCTGTAACCCAGGTTGGAGTGCAGTGGTGCGATCTCAGCTCACTGCAACTTCTGCACCTCCCAGGTTCAAGTGATTCTCCTGCCTCGGCATCCCAAGGAGCTGGGATTACAGGTGTGCGGCACCACACCTAGCTTTTTTTTTTTGTATTTTTAGTAGAGACGGGGTTTCACCATGTTGGTCAGGCTGGTCTTGAACTCCTGGCCTGAAGTGATCTGCCTGCCTTGGCCTCCCAAAGTGCTGGGATTACAGTCATGAGCCACCGTGCCTGGCTGTCCCTTGGATTTTGAAATTTCACCACTCTGTGCCCAATATTTATTTTTATTATTTATTTATTTATTTATTTATTTTTATTTAAAAAAAAATAATTCAAGGCCGGGCAAGGTGGCTCACACCTGTAATCCCATCACTTTGGGAGGCCAAGGTGGGTGGATCACCTGAGGTCAGGAGTTTGAGACCAGCCTGGCCAACTTGGTGAAACCCCACATCTACTAAAAATACAAAAATTAGCTGGGCATGGTGACGTGTGCCTCTAGTCCCAGCTGCTTGGGAGGCTGAGGCAGGAGAATCACTTGAACCAGGAGGTGGAGGTTGCAGTGACCCGAGATCATGCCACTGCACTCCAGCCTGTGCAACAGAACAAGAATCTGTCACAACAACAACAACAACGACAACAACAACAACAACAAAACATAATTCTACTTTGCATGTGGTAGGTTCTGTCAATCTGAGGACTTGTGTGTTTCTGCATTTTCTTTTCTAATTTCCCATATTCTCTCAGGTCTCTTTTTGGAATTCCTTTTAGGTGGTGGTTGGAGCTTATATCCTTCATGTCTTTTAATTTACTTTTATCCTTCCATCTCTGGGTTTTTGTGCCATCTGGGAGAGTTCCTGTTTCAGCCCCCTAGGTGACTAATTTGATCTTCATCTGTTCCATGCTGCTATTCAGCCCCTTTTTAAACTTTAATGATGAAATGTTTGGTTCCCAGATCTAGTTCATTCGTTTTAAATGGATGTGATAGCCTCTCCCCTCTCTCTGTTTTCTCGTTCAAAGTGTCATTCTGCTTGTCCTAGTACCCAAGTCCTCAGGGGTGCGTTCGTTTAGCAGATGAGTTTGGTGTGCCTCTTTCGACGTGTAATCTTCTTAATAAGGTGGGTGATTCTGGGTTGCCTGCTTGTCTTTGTGTTTGAAGGTTTCTGTTGTCCTATCTGTGAGGCTGAACTCACATACTGGATGGGAAGAGCTCTGCACTGTTGTGCCAGCTGGAGCAGATCCCAGTCTTTGGGTATGGGCTCCACTGACCTCCTGTGTGTTGTTGCCACTCGAGGGCTGTCTCCCCTACTCCCTGCTTCTGCCTGCGGGCAGTTGCTTTTGCAGGTCACTGCTTGGCATCATGGCCCTGCCAGCCACCCTCACATTTGATTTGGGGCTTCTTCTGGGTCCTCACTTGCTGGGCTTCCCAGATTGGAGCTGCCAGCTTCATGGCAGCCCTCTCCCGGATATGCTTTGCCCTGTGGTACCATTTCCAATCCGAACCCATCAACCTTCTGCCTTGCAAGCATTCTTCATGATTCCTGCCCTAGTAAGAACCTCATTCTTCTTCTTTTTTAAAAAATCCAGCTCCTGCAGGAAAGAACCCCATTCTGGTTTTTCAGCACTGCTATGGATTTTTAAAAAAGTGTTTATGTTACTTTTAGGGTTTTGTATTGGGAAGAGGCAGAATGTGACCCCAGGCCACCATTTTGGCCCGATCTCTATTCATTTTTACTGGGTGACCTTGTTGCAGAAGAGATTTATAATGTGGCACATCATTTCATATAATTACCATGCCATGGTAATTATTTCCTGGGTCATTAAAATTTCTTCATAATCACTATTTTAATGACTGCATAATATTTCTGCTGGTGGGTACATCTGAATTGACTTTGCTGTTTCCTTTTTCTTCCCAACATTTTTTTTTTGCTTTTTTTCTTTTTTTTTTTTGAGATGGAGTCTCACTCTGTCGCCCAGGCTGGAGTGCAGTGGCGCGATCTTGGCTCACTGCAAGCTCCGCCTCCCAGGTTCACGGCATTCTCCTGCCTCAGCCTCCCAAGCAGCTGGGACCACAGGAGCCCACCACCACGCCCAGCCAATTTTTTGTGTTTTTTAGTAGAGACGGGGTTTCACCGTGTTAGCCAGGATGGTCTTGATCTCCTGACCTCGTGATCCACCCACCTCAGCCTCCCAAAGTGCTGGGATTACAGGCGTGAGCCACCGCGCCCGGCTCTCTCCGACATTTTACTATAATAATAATAATAACAAGCCACAATGAACATCTTGTGCTTGAAATTTTGTCCATATTTGGAGCATTTTCCTAAGGTAGAGTCCTAAGGATGTGTGTGTGTTTGTTAAAATGTACATAACATTTACCATTTTAGCCATTTTTAAGTGTACAGTTCAATAGCATTAATTCACATTCTGTGCAGCCATCACCACCATCCATCTCCAGAACTTTTTCATTTTCCCAAACAGAAATACTATAGCCCTTAAACAGTGACTCCCCATTCCTTCTTCCTCCAGCCCCGCAAAACCACCATTCTCCTTTCTCTCCTTCTGACTTTGACTACTCCAGATATTTCATACAAGTGGAATCATATAGTACTTTTGTGACGTGCTTACTTCACTTAGCATGAGGTTTTCAAGGTTCATCCGTGGTGCAAGTGTGTGTTTGAAATGCCCATTCTGTCACCCCTACCTCCTGGCTGCCCTCCCTGAGATCCACCCTCTACAATGTTTGGGAATGCACAGTAATCTCTCAGGAGGTGGCCTGGGTGTCCCTCTTCATTCCTGTGCAAAAGGATTCTTCCTGGAGACTCTGCCATCCTCATTCGCTTAGTGATTCATCTCAGAGCTAGAGCCAAATGAAATGGATTTCGTTCCCAGCAGGGCTAGTTTGAAAGTTTGTGCTCATAAACTTGCTTTACCGTAATCTATAAATTGAGTTTTCGCGCTCTGCCGGCTCTATTTCTCCCACCTCTGCCAGATGTATTGCCACATTGGGCCTCTGGGCCCAGGCACGAGGGGAGGCCCCAGGATGCTCTGTGCTTATGGAGGTGCAGCAGGGATTGGTGATTGGTTTGAACATGTAATTGCATTTCATTACTTGATTACTGCTGCTGCTGTCACCGAGGGAGCTAGGGAGCTCCTGGTACAGCTGCTTGTCACTGCAGTTCATGTTCTAATATCTGATCCTAGGAGGGAATTTGATAGAGTAGAAGGAGGAGAGGAGGAGGGGCAGCCCCTGGGCACCCTGGACAGCAGATCCTCCTGAAAGCCATCAGCAGTGCTTTCACCACGCTCCCTGTCCTCGTCAGCAACTTCTGCAGACACCAGGATTGCCCACCTCCCAGATTATCTCATGGAAGCCTCTGAGGCAGCTGCTACTATTTATTGGAACCTCTTTGCCTAAAGTCATAGCTGGAGTGTGCTCCCCATGGTGGGATGGGTGCTTTACCCACAGGAGTTGGGGGGAGAGGGGAGGGTAGCTGGAGTTTTCCCGGGGCCTGGGGCAGGGGGAGGGGATCCCACCCCTTCATCCCATGCCAGGCAGAAAAGGGTGGAGGCAACAGCTGGAGACCTGGATTGCATTCCTGGCTCTGCAATCCTGGCTGAGTGAGCTGGGATGAGCTGCTTAACCTCTCTGACCTTGGCCCTCTCACTGTAACACCCCTAGGTTGTGGCCAGGTTGGGTGAAGCTAGCACTTCAGGCTGGTCTCCATACTTCTATTCCCAACACAATTGTCAGAGTGAGCCTTTGAAAATAAAGGGAGGCTGTGACTCTTGCTTACAACCCACCATAGCTCCCCATTTCCCTCAGAGTCGAAGCCCAAGAGACCCTCATGATCTTGTCTCATTTTGGCCTCATCTACTCCCTTTCTCCCTGGGTGCCTCCCCTTCAGCCACAGTGGCCTACTCCTTGCTCCTGCAGCACCCCAGGTATGGTCCAGCCTCAGGACCTCAGAGTCGTTGCACTCCCAGTTCCCCCCACCCTGAACGCCCTTTCTGGGACATTCAAATGGCTTCCCTTCTACCTTCACTGTCTCCGTGAGACCTATCTTAAGCCCCATCTTAAAACCCATGACAAGCCCCAATTTCCTATTTCCTGATCTGTTTTTCCATAGAGCTTCTCACCTGGCACTCATGATGTATATGTATTTACTTGTTTAGTTTTTAGTGCTTTCTCTCCTGCTAGAATGGAGCTCCATGAGAACAGGTTCTAAGTCTGGTTCTCAGGTGAATCTTAAGCGCTTGGTGACCAGTAGGTGCTTAGTTGAATGAATGGATGAATGAATGAATGAATGAGGGAGTGAATGAGTGAATGAGTATCTAGCAGATTGCCCTGCCTATGGTAGGGTCTCAGCAAGGGTGAGTTCCTCTTCCCTGCTGTCCCTCACCCTGCCATGTCCTCAGGCTCAACTTCTGGCTCCAGGGAACGGACAGGGAGGATGCCAGGCCTAGCCTGTGTGGGTTCTCTTGTCCTCAGGCCCTGGGGCATCCCCAGGACATCAGAAGTGGGCTTTTCATAGCAGGAGGGGGCTGCAATCTGAGCTTTACTCCCAACCTGTCAGCCTGTGTGGACCCCTGGTGTGGGCTGGCCCTGGCAGGCAGAGGGCAGGACCTTCGGAGTAGCCACTGCAGCAGAGCACGGAGCTTGACTGGTGACAGAAGGTGTTTTTCAGCTCTGGCATGGCTTCTGTGTGGCAGCAGTGGCCATGACTAGGTCTGAGTTACATGCGATGTGCAGAATTAAAGCCAAGGTGGGGCCATGACTTCTGGGGTCCACTGTGTTCTAGCAGCTGCAGCAGGTTAGACAGCCACTCCTGGCACCAGCACTCAGGTGCTGAGTCATTGCCTTTTCCTGCCTGCCTGGAGGGGGCCTTGGCCTTTCTCATGCCTCTGAAGAGGAGGCAGGCAGTGGGGTGAGGCTCCCCAAGCACCTGGGCCTTTTTTTCTGCTTGGGGAGCCCAGCCCAGCCCTTCAGTCTATATAAGTCAAAGGATGCAGGTCAGGGGCAGTGGCTTGTGCCAGTAATCCTAGTGCTTTGGGAGACCAAGGTGGGAGGATTGCTTGAGGCCAGGAGTTCAAGACCAGCCTGGGCAACGGCAATACCCTGTCTTTACAAAAAAAATTAAAAAATTATCTGGGTGTAGTGGCTTTTGCTGGTGGTCCCAGCTACTCAGGAGGCTGGGGTGGGAGGATCGCTTGAACTTAGGAGGTCAAGGCTGCAATGAGCTATGATTGTTCCACTTCACTCCAGCCTGGATGACAGAGTGCGACCATGTCTAAAAATAAAAATAAAAATTAAAATTAAAAAATGACACAGTTTGGTGGAGGATCCCTTGACCTCCTGCTCTTTAAGTCAGTCAGGAATGGGGACCCTCTTGCTTTCATGGCCCAGCCAGAAGCACTGGCTGAGAGAATCGAGTGTAGGGTCCTTGCTGCCCGAGGCCTGCCCACCTCTTCTTCTTCCTGCCATCCCAGCAGAAGTGGGGTGCAAGGATGCCAGATGTGTGTTCCCAAGAAATGTGGCAGTATGGAGAATCCACACTTTCAGCAGGTGAGATGTAATTGTGGGTAATTGAAAAACACCATCAAAGCTATTTGTCATAATTTTTACAAATGCTTTCTTCCTGGGTCATTCATAACACTTCTAGAAACTCACAGGTCCACAGAACACCCACTCACATGCTTTCCTTTACTCTGCAGGAGTCTGTCTTGCTCAGAGTGGGGAAGGGGGCTTGTGGATGAGCCAGCCAGGCCTGGAGGTGCGGCCTCCCTCCCAGGAGGGAGCTGCAAGCCAAGTATCTAGAATCAGAGTATGAGGAGGTCAGGACAAAGGGGCGGCTATGCAGACTTGGGATGAGCCCTGAAGCTCTGAGCAGATGCCCAGGGTGGGCAGGTCCGGGGGGAGTTCTGCCTTCTGCAGAGAGGCAAGGGGTGGGGAGCTAGGCAGCTCTCTTCTGAGGGGATTCAGATGTGTGTTGTTCTGTACTGAGTGGTCCTAGGGCCACGTGGATCAGAATTGCCAAGGCCGTACTTTTATACAGATTCCTGTCCCAACACCCCCACCAGCTGGACTGAATCTCTTGGGGAAGGGGCTGAGGATATGCATTTTAGTGGGGGTGATTCTTGTGATTCTTGTGCACACTCAGGGTGAGAAGCACTAGCTTGTAATAATGTGCTTCTGAATGCCAGCCTGTCCATGTCTCATGGAAAATCATATAAAAGCAAGACAGCCATCTCATCTGGCAGCTGAATGGGAGGGAGGCTGAACAGGTCAGTTGGGGTTTGTGGGTCTGGTGAGCAGCGCCCAGGAGTGACCTCGGAGGATGCAAGGCTGGTGCTCAGGAGCCCTGGGGCTTTAAATTCACAGTGCTGGCTTATTCTAGGCTAGGTACCCCTTGCTGTCTCAGGAGCTGGCTCCATCTCCACCCTGTGTCCCATCTTCCACTGGGGCTCTGCCCTCCCGAGCCTGGAGGCTTTGCCTGGGCTGTTCCACCTAGGCTGGGGCAGCTTTGAGGGGCCTCTGGGTCCAGCACTGGAGAAAGGCTCTTTGTCTGGTTTCAGGCATGTGCAGAGCTTCAGGGGCCAGGCTGTGCCTGATGGGGGGGATTGTTGTATCTCTGGAGACTCTGGAGAACACTGGCTTAGACTGGGTTCCCTTGCAAGTCAGGGCTGCAAAGCCCCTGACATGAAGGAGCTGTCAGTCCTGGCTGTGAGGGTGTGTGGGAGGGTGGACAGTGAGCGTGATGTGATCTCTGCCTTACTGGCCAAATGTGCAGAATGTATTGGCAGCTCAAAGTCTGCCTGGGGGATTCTGGGGCACACCTGGTGGCATGTCCCAGAGTGCAGCACCAGAAGGTCATGGGGAGTGTTGGTCGAGTGGAGGTCCCCAGTGTGGACCAGAGTGGTTGCTGTGCTGTCTGTGACCAGTTCTAGTTCCCTGGCTATCTAGTCTTATATTTTGTGATGGTCTTGCTCTGTCTCATCAAAGTGGGGGATGGGTGTGTAGGTAGGTGAATAGGTGATGGATGGGTGTATGTGTAGATGGATAGATGGATGAGTGGATGGGTTGACAGATAGGAGTTAGAAAAATGGGTAAATGGATGGATGGATAGATGAAAACCTGGCTGAGTTTATAGCTGCCTGGGTGGGTGGGTGGCCAGTGGGATGATGTGTAGATGGATGGATTATTGGGGATTGGAGCTGGATAGGTGGCTGGATGAATTGGAGGTTGGGGATGGTTGGATAGATGGTTGGGTTGATAGAGTGTGAGTGGGAGTAGATAGATGGATGGGTGGATGGTTGGAGGCAGATGTATATGGGTGGCTGAAGGAAAATATGGGGGCATATGAATGGATGGGTGGGAGGATGGATGGATGAAGGGGAGGGTGAGTGCATGGATGGGTCACAGGTGGATGGGTTAATGTGGCTGGAAGGAGGCATTGTGGGGCAGGAAGCAGATCAGGTGGGTGACCAGGTTCACTGATACAAAATTAAACTGTGGCCAGATATGCCAAAATCCAGTTCCTTGTGTGACTCAGAGGCTGTAGTAGTTCTGAGAGGAGTTCCCCAGCCCTGGACTCATTAGAGGAAGCAGCCCCAGCCCCCTTCCTGGGCCACATAGACCATGTTCCTGCCCTGGGCTTTTCTCTGCTCCATGTGCTGATGCCTCAGCCCTCCTTGCCTGGGGTCCAGGAGTGCTGGCTGGCGTGTGGCTATGCCTGGCCAGGGTGACAAATTGCAAGAACCTTGCAGTGGCTATTGGGGGCGGGGGCTGGAGGACAAAGGCTGAGGAAAATGGGCCTTTGCTTTATGGGGTCTCCACAAGGCAATGTGCTAAGTGCTTTCATCATGTTGCTGTTTCATGTTTGTGACAGCTGGGGAGGTATGGGCCCCACAGATGAGGAGTCTGAAGGTGACTTGCTCAAGGTCATGCTGTTTGACAGAGGCAGAGCCTGGAAGCTTGATGGAAGCAGGGCGGCTCTGAACTGGGTGCGGCACAACAGGATCGGATGCCAGCAGTGGGCGGGGGCAGAAGGTCAGTCCTGGGAAGGACAGGTTACATGGAGGTCCTGACTGCAGGCCCAAGCAGGGGAGGGCTTCAGGGAGGGTTCCCATGGGATGGACTAACACAAAGCCTTGGTGGCTCTGTGATGGATCCTGGGGGCTCTGGCTCTGCACCATGTGGCCTTTCTGATGCTCCTGCAGTAGGTCTCAGGGCACTGGGCAGAGCTCCAAATGGCAGCCTCAGATTCCGGGCCCTGCCTAGAGGGCTAGGACAGCTGGCACACATCTGAGGAGTGCTGGGAAAGGGGACTGTTGGCCCAAGAGCTGAGGTTGACTTCATAAGAGGTGCCACCTTCAGAGAGCAGCCTCCTCAGGGGGTCTTGTTCTGGTGAGCAGCAGGCACCTCTTGCAGCCCACTGACCCTGTCCTTCTAAGGGCACCTGTGCCACCATTTCCCAGGCCTGGCAGGAAATGCCCCCAGAACACCTGAAGCTTCCTTGCCCATCTCTGAGCTAGGCCAGGGATTCCTCTGATATTTCCCCAGGCCAGGCTCTGTAAGCACAGCTGATCCCACCCTGAGGGGTCAGGGAGGCAGATGGCCACTGATCACCAGAGCCCAAGGAGTGGGAGGAGCCCTTGTCTCAGGGATCTGAGCCACCTTTATGCCACCTACCATCATCTGGAGTTTCTGACTTCATGGTTGGGACAACCCTTGGGACCTGTCCCATCCATGCTCATGTGGGGCTCATTCTATGGTGGGTTGCAGGCAGGAGTCAGCCCTCAGCAGCTCAGGCCCTGAGCACCAGCTGAAAGCAGCCAGTTCCACCTCTTGGCTACAGTATCTGAGGGGCAAGGAAGTGGAGCTTCAGGAGTGAAGAGCTGGAAGCCACTCATGTTCAGGAGGAAGAAGAGAGGAAGCTGGACCTGATCTGCCCTTAACAAAGAAAGATAAAGCAGGAAAAACCGAAAACTAATTTTAGTGCATTAGGCTAGAGATGGGAGAGTGTTTATGGATCATTTAGTTTATGGATGGTGATAGGTTAGTGGTTAGATTAGCAGGAAGCCAGTCAGCTTGAAAGGAGGGAATTAATTTATGAGATTGCGAAGGGGAAAATTGTTTGCAAGAAATACAGGGGTTTTGTTGTAATAGCATGGAGTTTGGCAGAAACAACAAGCGCCGACAGGCCCAGCTGTCCCTCAGGGAGCCAGCCACCAGGAGCGCCAGTCTGGGGGCTGGGGATGTGTGGGAAGAGTGGGACGCCCCAGCGCAGGGTGCAGCCCAGCTCTCACTTGCTCCTCAGCTGGGGAGAAGGCTGTTCCTCTCCCACGAATTTCCTGGGCTTTGACATTGAGGTTTTGGATTGGAAGAGGGTTTGGTGATAGGCGGGCAAGTTCCCGGACGTCATTATATCTTGTGCCAAGGACCTACTGAACTGAGCCTAAAGAGGGAGATTTCCCTGCCACGGAGACTCCCCTGGTGGCTCTTCCTGCCCCTGTGCCACACTTCAAGTTCTGGGGAGTGGGGATCTGAGGAGGGGAGCTCAGAGGCCTGGAGAGTCCTCTGTTCATTACACTAACATTTCCTATGCATGACAGGGCCAGAGGGACTGGGTTCCAATTCCAGACCCATAAATTAGTGGCTGAGTGATTTGGACAAGTTGTTGAGCCTCTAGGAACCTCTGTATCCTTATCTGTCAACATCTCAGGGTTGTTGTGAAGATGACCTGAGAAGATATGTGTGAGGAGCTTGGCCTGGTGCCTGGCACATGGTTAGTGCTGGGTAATGATCGCTGTTAGTATTTTCATGGTTATTTTAATGGCAGAGGAATTAAACAGAGCTTGCCAAGTTCCAGCTTCTGATCCCCCTTTCCCCACTGCATAGTCTCAACCCCAGTTCCCTCCACAGGACTTTCCTCTTGCCCAGGCTCCTCCCCCAGCCCTGACTGGCGGCTCTGTCCAACCCACCTGGCCTCTCTCAGCCCTAGAGCCTGTGCTAGCTGAGCTGTGGCTAAAGGCTTGGGGCCTCCTGAGGCTGCCTGTGCTCTGCTCTGTTGTTTCGTTGCCACAGCTCTGCAAGATGCTAGGCATCCTTGAGGCGTGCCTGAGTTTGGGATCCTCTGTCCTGGTTTCCTGTGCTGCAGAGCCTCTTGGGTGTCCTGTTGCTCCTCCCTCAGTGGGTGGGCCACCGCTAATGTGGCCACTGGGGTTTGTCCACTGACACCCCCCTACTGCAGAAGACACACTCCAGGCTCTGTTCACTGCAGTCTATGTGGATGGCATCCCCTGGGGTGGTGCAGGTCACAGCCCTGATAGCTCCTAATAGTTTATAAAAGGCTCAGTCTCCCAAGTCACCTTGTGAGATGTGATCGACAGTGATTTGAAGAAAGGTGGAACATCTTGCCCAAGTCGCAGGACTAGTGAGTGTTGGAACCAAGATCGGAACCTTCCTTCCATGGCACCCACTGCTTCCTATTTCACTGGCCCTTGGGGTCTAAGATGGGCCTCTCCATGGACTTCGGGGAGGCAGAACCAAGGCTTTTGAATCCACTGCCAGAGGCAGATGGGAAGAAATCCTTTTGGAGGAGCGGATTGGAAGGAAAGCAGTCCCCTCCCTTTGCTGACTAATGAAGGGTGAACTTGCTCCTTGGGAGGCGATGGGTGAGTGCTCTTGTCATTAGCTCCAGCAAAGAAAGGGACGGTGTGTTTAGGGTGGGGTGGGAGACCAAAGAGTGCATTTCCTCCAGCTACTTCTTGGCACCACTGTGGAAAGTCATTTTTCCAGCATGGGGGAATTTGTTTTGAAAGTGAAATGACTCTGATGTCATCTGGGCTTGAAGGAGCTAAGCCATCTAGAAACATTTGGAGATAGGTTTGCCTTGTTTTCACCCACATTTAACTTCACAGTAGCTGAGGCAGCCTGAACTTTACAGAAGTGCCCTGTCAGCAGAAAGAGCCTGTGCGGTGGCAGTCAGCCACAAGGCACTTTGCACAAATTACAAGTGCTGGGAAACAAAGGCCAGCCCCCAATGCAGAAGTGGGCTCCCCAGTTCTGTTTACATTGGTGGATACCCTGGTTTGAATAATCTGTGAGAATCTCAGACCTATAGATCAAGGGTTTCAAAATCAGCTAATTAAAACAGATTGTGAGGCTGCCAATTTGTCTTTTCTTTTAAGACAAGGTCTCACTCTGTTGCCCAGGCTGGAGTTCAGTGGTTCAGTCACATAGCTCACTGCAGCCTAGAACTTCTGGGCTCAAGTGGTCCTCCCACGTCAGCCTCCCAAAGTGCTGGAATTACAGGCGTGAGCCACCATGCCTAAACTGCCAGTAGTTTTTTGAGTTAAGTTTTGAACTCTCAGGTTGGATGGATGGAAGGGCAGAGGGAGAGAGAGAGAGCAAGAGAAAAAGAAAGGCAGCAGTGCATTTTTTTTTTTCCACTCTGGCATCCCAGTGTTCTCAGGAGCCCCTGCACCTCTCTAGGCATTTATCATACAAGTGTGGTCTAGGCATTTGCCCTGCCTGGCTAGAGAGGCCCAAATGGGAACCAGTAACTCCCTCAGGCTTTGGTGGAGGCAAGTTTTGTTGTGGAGCCACACCCCATGATACAGCAAAGCATTATGGGAGCAAGTATATGGGTGACACCCATCTGCTGTCCTGATTAGGTCTCCCAGCTGCCCCGACTAGGTCTCCCAGCTGCCCCAGGATATCCTCCTCCTGCTTGCTGAAGCTGCACCGTGCAGTGGAAAGAGCATGGCCTTTCACGTCTGACAGTCTGAGTCTGTACTTGCTGGCTATGTGATTTAAGGACATTTCTTAATATCTCTGAGCCCTCCTTTTGTCAATGGTAATGAGGGAATAACTCCGGCTCAGTAGGCTCTTGGAGGATTGAACAAGGTACCACTATATGGTGTCTTAGTTCTGTGGCTGGCACAGAGGAGAGTCTCAGAAAATATCAGTCTACCTTTCCTCCCTCTCTCCTTTCTCCTTGTCCTCACTGCCCCTCCTCTTCCTCCTGCCCATGTCCTCCTCACTCTGCTCCTCCTCCATCTTGACCCACGAGGCTCTTTCAGGATGGATTGCCTGGAAATCTGTCATGCTCACCTTCCTGTACCCTCTGCTGTCTGGGATGGAGAGATCTGAGCTGAGAGATAACAGGCTATTACTGAACAGACTGCTGCATGGTGTTACCAAAGACAGCCAAGTTGTAAATTCCTCTGACTTTGGCTTTTTGGATGCTCCAAAAATAAATGTGGGGGCATTTCAGTCTCCAGCAGACTGGGGTGCTCCAGCAGATGTGGAGTCTCTGGGCTGAGGTGACAGAGGGGCAGCAGGCATGTCTGTCTAGGTTTGAGGGCCATCAGCTGCCTTTTCTGGAGTCTCCATCCTCTTTGCAGAAACCATGCGTGGCGCAGTGGGAAGCCTGGAGACCAGGTAGATATATGCCTTTCTCCCCAACACTCAGGTACCTGCTCCTCAGCAAGGGCACTGGCTGGCTGATGCACCCAATTGTGATTGGGGTCCTGAGGGCTCAAGGCATATTGGTGGTGTCAGACACAAGTTGGAAGCTGATGGGGTCTTGCTGCCCACCCCTCTACCCCACACAGGGCTGGGGACCACCATGACAGATGCTGGTCTGGTGAAAGTGCTGGGGATGGAGAGGCACAATGGCCAAGTATATAAAGAATCTCAGTGTGGCTCTGTCCTGAGCAGCCCCTTGAGGTACAGTCCATTGAGAAGAGCATGATGGAGAAAGCTTTGGGGGCATTGGGCTATGTCTGTTCACCATGAGACCCACTAGTGGCTATGGGCCTGGTTAGAAGAATCTGGGCTTGGGGATGGGGCCAGGAAGGTATGAGGGCTGCCTCAAAATTTCTCAGGGTCAGGTCAGAGCCAGCAGGAGAGCCAGGTGAGGGTGAGGGCACTGCCCTGGGCACAGGATTCTGGCTCAGCAAACAGCAGAAGTGATTCAAGCAGTGCAGGTGGTGGAGCTGAGGCTGCTGACCCTAGCAGGTGGCCTCAGGCCAGCCGGCTTGGACATAAAGGGGTGGTAGTGGGCTTGAAGCTGTGAGTTCTGGAAAGGTGGTGAGGGAGAGATGGAGAAGAGCCAGCTGTGTCCTGGCTGGAGGAAACACAGTTCAGAGGCTGAAATCATTGAGGCACTGGCATCCTCTCTTAGGATGTCTCTCCCAGCAGTGAGGCTTTGTAGGAGGAGGGACTTCAGTACAACCTTTGTGTGCTAATTGGACAAATATACTTCAGAAGGAAGGACATTGAAGGCTATTGATCCCATTCTACTTATTGGACGTTCCTTAGATGGTTCTTTGACGGCAGTGACCATGGAGGTCAGAGGCCACACTGCTAGCAATTCAAGTCCCCCATAAAGATCACTGGGAGAACAAAAGCTGCCATCTCTAGTTCAGAGTTCCTCCCACGCGGTGCTGCCAGGACAGGATGCTGCCAGGTAGAACAGAGAAGGCCATGTGGACTTCTCCGATTCTTTACTGTGTTGAAACAATGCCTGCGGGAGCCACAACAGCTGTGTACTGTGCCCAGGACACATGAGCATGCAGGCATGATCCCTTTTATGTATGACCGCTTTCTTGGCCCACCATTTAACTCCCTGCAAACTATGCCAGTACTTCTTCCAGGGTAGTTCTGACAAGACCCAACACTGCTCAGTTACTTTATCTACTATGGTTTTGTTAATTATTGTATCATTAGTATAAGGAGGGGGGCCCTTAATGGATGACCGAGGATGCTGTCTGTAGGCTCTTGTCTCATCTGGACCCCATTTTTCACTTTGTCAAACTCCAGCTGTGTCTTTGGGACTCACCTTACTCTGTTGTCTTAAGAAAATTAATGCTCTGAAGCTTCCTAGCCCCTTATCTCTATTGTGACTTTATAAACCCTAAGTACTAAGACAAGTTTTCCTAAATTCACTAGTTTACTCTATTGTCTTCCTACTGACATAGAGTATAGGCTATATCCAAACATAAATTACTAGATAAATATATTTTTAGAAACCATCTGCTATGGTTTGAGTGTCCTCTCCAAAACGCATGTTGAAATTTAATTTCCATTATGATGGTGTTAAGAAGTGAGACCATTAAAAGGCGAGTAGGTCGTGAGGGCTCTGCTCTCATGAATGGATTAATGTCATTGAGGGAGTGGGTTCATTATTGAGAGTGAGTTGTTACCGAAGTGAGGTAGGCCCTCTCGTGCTCTCTCGTGCTCTCCTGCCCTTGTGCCTTCCGCCTTCTGCTATGAGATGATGTGGCAAGAAAGCCCTCAGCAGATGTGGGCCCCTCAACCTTGGACTTCCCAGCCTCCAGAAGTGTAAGGAATAAATCTCTGTTTTTTTAATAAATTACCCAGTCTCGAGCATTCCGTTACAGCAACATGAGATGGATTAAGAGATCCTCTAACCAAGTGTATTTAACATACTTCCCATTGGACCTAATACATTTCCTTCTGCAGCATAGTAGATTTCTCTTTTGAACAATACCACCCCATGGGAGAGTCTGTGGCTTGTGAACAGTGACCCACAGTCACTCTGAGGCTGGGTGTTTGGTGTTTGTATTTCACCAGTTCCTTTGGGCATAGACTTCCTTGCCTCTCCAATCTGTCAGGATGTACAGAAGCAATGACCTGTTTCAACCAAATATCCACAGATTCTGGAAGTGGCTCTGGGGCTGGGACCAGGGGCTAGGGCCTCATCCCAATGTCTGGTGGGCCCTAGTTCAGGTCTGGAGGTAGACGGACCCAGCTGGCCACTCAGAGGTGGGCTCAGTTTGCACATCCATGAGGATAAAGAGGAACTGCTTCTGGAGGTGGGGCAGGCTGGAAAGTGAGTGTCTAGGGTGGCACAGTCAAGATGGGCAGGATGGCAGGGAGTGAGAGCAGAATTCTGGACTGCAGAATTCACACTGAGGTGGAAGCCAGGAGTGGGGATGAAGAATGGTGGTCCTTGGGGGAGGGGATGTAGGGGGCTGTTGTTCAATGGGTATAAACCTACAGTTGTATGAGATGAGTAAGTTCCGGGGATCCCCTGCACAGCATGGTGCCTGTAGTTAAAAACAGGAGATTGTATATGTAGAAATTTGTTCAGAGCGTAGATCTCATGTTTAGTGCACAAACATATGCACAAAAACATCAACAAAAACAAAGGAACAAAGGACATTTTGTTTTTACTTGATTTTCCTCCAGCTTTATTAGATATAATGGACAATAAAAATATTTAAGGTGTACAACATGGTGTTTTGATATGCATTGTAAAGTGATCACCAGAATCAGGCTAATGAACATATCATCACCTCATATAGTTAACATTTTTCTTTTTTGTGGTGAGGAAACTTAAGAAATTCTCTCTTAGTAAATTTGAAGTATACAGTACATTATTATTAACTATAATCTTCGTGCTGTGCATTAGATCTTTAGAACTTATTCATCTTGCAACTAAGTTTGTACCTTTTGGCCAAAATCTCCCCATTCCCCCCCACAGCAGCTCCTGGCAACCACCTTTCTATGCTCTGCTTTTTTGAGTTCTACTTCTTTAGATTTCCACATATAAGTGAGATTGTGCAGTATTTGTCTTTATATGTCTGGCTTATAACAAAGCATAACGTTCTCTAGGTTCACCCATGTTATTGCAAATGGCAGGATTTAATTCTTTTTTAAGGCTGAATTCCATTGTGTATGTATACCACATTTTCTTTATCCATTCGCTCATTGATGGCCACTTAGGCTGTTTGCATACCTTGGCTATTGTGGATTATGCTGCAATGGACATGGGAGTGCAATATTTCTTTGAGATACAGATTTCAATTCCTTTGGGTACATGTCCAGAAGTGAGATTGCTGAATTATACGGTAGTTCTATTTTTAGTTTTTTATAGAACTGCCAATACCCAATACTGTTTTCCATAATGGCTATTACCAACTTATATTCTTACCAACAGTGTGCAAAGCTTCCATTTTCTCCACATCTTCACCAATACTTGTCATCATCTGGGGACACAAGGTAATTTTTGGAGGTAATGGATATGTTTATTACTTGTACTGTGGTGAGGGCGACACAACTGTTTACACATGTCCAAACTAACCAAACTATAGATATTGATTATGTGCAGTGTTAGGTATACCAACTGTATCGCAACAAAGGTGGATCAGTACCTCGGACAGCGCCAGGAAGACACAGTTATCCTAAGCTCTGGTAAGGCAGAACTGTCTGGCTCTCTGGAACTTTTAGCTGTTAGGGTACCTTAGGACTCTTTAATGTCAACATGGTCCTCAGGGACTTTGGATCTCTGTTTCTGGAGGACACCTTTGTTTTCTAGCCTGGGTGCTGGACCTCCTTCTTCCCCCTCTCTCTTTTTCCCTTCCTCCTTTCTTCACTGCTCCGACTGCTGGCCTCTGGAAGCCAGATCATGGCAATCACAGGAGGGAGAGATTGGAGGGAACTGAGCCCAGTATAGGAGGCCTTCATCTTGAAGTCCCTTTGGTTTCTGAGCCCAGGTTACCACAGGTTTCTACTTGGAAATTTCTAGATAGTTTCCCCTGTCTGTCCCTGGGATTTGGAAGTCTCCTTGAATCAGATAAGGGAGTGCCAAATGTGACTAGGAGCTATTTTAAATCACTGGGAGGAAGCTATTGGGGAATGTTACCTGAACAAAGAGCTTTCTCCACTGGTTTTGGCTCAAGAGAGCCCTGTATAAGCCACCAGAGCCCATGAATACTCAGTCCTTGTGAGAGCCAGAGCTGTAGCAGGGGACCAACTGGGGCCTGGGGCTCCAGCATGAGGGGCTCCCAAGCTAGGTCCCTAAGCTCAGAGGAGGACTCTTTCTTTTAAGATCTGGAGAAGAGGCTAGTACCCACTTGTTTGCCCAAAGCCTTGACTAAAGGGTTTTGATGGAACGATCCCTGAAGGCTTTTCCTCCTCTCTGCATCCACAGGTCAGGTGGAGTCATCTTTTCCATGGCTGAGAGACAGCAGGAAAAAGTGTTTCTAAATGTAGTCAGGGTAGATGTTGGGGCACTGATCACCCCCAAGTTATGGTGGGCGGAATTGGGCTGGAACATAGGAATGTGCATTTGTAAATGTCTTGTATCAAGGTCTTCAGAAAGAGAAGGCTTGTGTCTTAACTCCTTAAGCCTCAAGTTCCTCAACTATAAAATGGAGACAATGTTATAGAATTTTTGTGAAGATTGTAGACAAAGTATAGAAAGTGCTCAATGGGAGGCTCAGCCCCTCCTTTCTCCCCAGAGGGCCAGAGGCATTGTGTGATCCTCCTCTCTGAAATCCCAGGGGAGCCATCTGTTCTGGCCCCAGGGGAAGACCTTATTGGAATCCCCAGTTCCTGTTGTTCCTGAGAGATAATGCTGCCACTCCTCCTATTATGGTGGTGGTGGGGGGCAAACCGAGAAATGTCTGCATGCAGAGGCCCTCACTCCTCCCCACTGGCTGCTGCCTCCACAGCCTTTGGGGCCTCAGATGTGATGTTAGACATTCTAGTGCTTCCCAGGCATGAGGGACCAAGGAGAAGGCAGTGAGGTCTGAGAATCACATGGTTATGCAGTAACAACTCTTTCTTTTGGGTTTTACACAATCCTAAAGCCAAGATCAATGCCCAGCCATGTCACTTCCCATCAGTTTAAGAGAAATAGAGATAGGCTTATGGGACACATCTCAGAGCAGGCACAGGCCCTGCCTCTCAGCACCTGTCGTGTGCTCCTGACCAATGATGGGAAGTTGAGGGAGGGCTTCCCCCAAGAGATGGAATTAGCTTACATGAGTGTAGGCTCTGGCAAAGTGCGAAATCTGCAGAGCAGGCTGGAGACCTGGGGAGAGTTGATGTTGCAGTCTTGAGTCTGAAGACAGTCTAGGGCAGAATTCTTTCTTCCTCAGGGGACATCAGTTTTTTTTTTTTTTTCCTTAAGCCCTTCAGCTGATAAGACCTACCCACACTATAGAAGGTAATCTGCTTTACTCAGAATCTACTGATTAAATGTTAATCACATCTGAAAAATACCTTCATAGCAACCTCTAGACTCATGTTTGACGAAATAACTGGCCCCCATAGCCTAGAAAAATTGGCCCATGAAATTAACCACCGCAGACAGGGACAACGCCACCCAGATGCTTTAAAGTACTGCTCTAACCCAGATGTAGACCAAGAGGCTCAGGGCTGAGAACACCCACACCTTGACCATGGAAAGCGTGTGGCTTTGAAGTTTGCCAGCCTGAGTTCTAACCCCTGCTTCTCTGACAAAGACAAGTTTCCTTGTCCCTCTTGAAGCCTTCATTTTTCCATCTGTAAAATGGAGATCGTAGCTCATATCTTACAGGAGTGTTGGAGATCGACAGAGATGATGGATATGGCAGGACTGAGCACAGTGCCAGGCCATGAGTCATACCTTACCAGTGTGTTAGCTTCCTCCCAGTTTCTCTTTCTGCCTTTGGGGGCCTCTGTCAGCAGCCCTGAAATCTGCCATGCCTTCTGTGCTCAGGATAGTGGACAGAGGCATAGTTCTGTGGGGCTTAGCAGGTGCCTACTGGGTCCTGCTCAGAGGTCCAGGAGCAGAAGTGTTCTTCTGTGGAACCCCAGCAGCAGAGCCAGGGGTGAGCAAGGGTCAGGATTCACAGGGAGCTGAGTGAGGCAGCTGAGGGTGGGACATGTGGAGCATGTGTCCAGGGGCAGGAAGAGGAGGAGTCCCCTCTGCCAGATGTCTTTCTCAACATAAGTATGTTGGGGCTCCTGCCTTCTCTTTGTCCTGGTGCATCTTAAACACACAGCTTCTGGGCTTCCCAGGAGACATCACACAGTGAGCCGAGGGGCAGAATGCATTTTGAAGCAGGCTATTGAGGAGGCAGGACAGGTAGGAGGTGCAGAGAAGTGCAATGGAGTGAGCTGGGGTAGGCCCTTGGGCCCCTCTTGATGCCTCCTCTGAGTGGGGTAAGAGCAGAGAGAGTCACTACCAGGGTTGGGGGCTTCACAGCCTGCAAGAGTCTCCAGCTGGAGGGGAGGAAATGATGGAGATAGGAAAAACCATGGCAACGAGAAGTAATGACCAATGACCTGAGACTAAAAAGGGAAAACTGGTGTGTCTTTAAAAGGTCAGAGGCAGTGAGGTCAATTAAGCCTGGAGATAACATGTGGAGGCAGATCTTAGAGGGTGTGCCCAGAAAAGCCCCAGGAGAGACAGGAACGGCTCAGGACGAGCCCTGCTGGCGTCTCCTGCTGACATCTGAGTGCCCAGAAGAGATTCAGGTGAGGCTTCTCAAATAGCTCCCTGTGCAACTGGGTGAGCTGCTGGTGGATTGGAGAGAGCCCAGGGCTGTCAGTGAAATCCTGTCCACAACCCTTAATAACTGTGTGATGTGGGGCAACGCGATGTCCATTAGGTGGCTCAGTTTCCTCATCTGTAAAAGGGAGCTAATGAGACCACCTCATGGAATGGCAGGAAGATCAATGAGGAAAATAAATATCTGCAGCTGTCATGCCTCTTAGATAGTGAGTGCTCGAGAGAGGCATGCTCTCCCCTTGCCTGCTTCTTCCCTGTGCCCCTCCTTCCTGCTGAGCACAGTCTCTGTCATGTGGGGAGAGAACCTGTGCTGACATCCTCCTGGGCAGTGCTCCACTCTTTGTTCAGAAAAACTCTAATGAAGTAAGAGGTTCTTTCCTTATATTTCTAATTTTTTTAAAAATATTTTTGTACATACAGAGAAGTATAGACTAGTGTAATGGACATAGCCATTTACATCTGGATTTAAACATTGTTAACATTTGTCATATATCTGCTTCATCTATTTTTTGTTGTTGAAATATTTCAAAGTAAATTACAGACATCATGGCATTTTACTTCTAAACACTTAAGTATGCATCCCTAAAAATTGGAGGACATTTTCCTACATTTCATGCCTAGCAGAATAATTCTAATTTCTTAATATAGTCTAACACAATCCATATTCAAATTTCCCTAATTGCCCCCAAAATATCTCTTATACCTGATTGGTTCCAGCTGGGATTCAATCCAGGACAACACATGTGATTCATTATTTCACATAAATCTCTTCCTATTTAGACGAGTGTTTGTCAGACTTCTGTGTGTGCACACAGATCACCTGGAGATCTTGCTAAAATGCAGATTCTGCTTCTAGGTCCAGGGAGGGCCTGAGATTCTGCATTTCTAACAAGCTCTCAATTGGCGCTGCTGCTGGTGGTTCAAGAAATACACCTTGAGTAACTAAGGTCTAGAACAACCCCCTTTCTTTCCTATGACATTGACTTGTATAGCATGGGCCAGTTGTCCTGTAGAATGTTTCAGCTACTGAATCTAGCCAATTGCTTCCTTAGGGTGACATTTAACCTGTTCCTCTGTCCCCTGTATTGCCTGCAAGCTGGAAGTTGGGTCTGGAGGTGAGTGTGATCCAGGGAAGGCATTTGTGGTAAGCATACAGGATTGGGGGTGCTGTGTGTTTCAAATATCATCATATCAAGAAGCACATCCACAAACCTTTCACTGCGATTCATGGTTGAGCATCCTTGGCCATGTGAGGTTGTAGGCAGAGGCTCTGTGGATGTGAGCATAGACCTTGTGGGGAGGTGGGGAGAGGATTCATTGGTTGCATCAAATTCCCAAGGAGGTGTTAGAAGTTTTCATTCACAAAAAGTACCCCAGAGTGCTTCTCAAACCTCCGAGGCTCATCAGTGCTGCCCCTGGTTCCCCTTTCTTTTCCTCTGCTGGGCGAGGACTACTGCCTCTTGCTGCAGATGTGTCTCCCAAGAAGGCATGGTGGCCCCTGTGGAGTGAGTCTCAAGGAGGAGCTGCTGTTCATGTCCAGGATCTGCCTGCCAGGCTGGGCCACATCCTGCAGAGACCTCACCTGGCTGTGACCTAGACCATGTGCCAGGGTGAGGAGGGAAGCTAAGGGTCAAATAAATGGAGCTGTGTGAGCCAAGTGAGGCTTTTAGCACAGAAGTAGGTGGCGGGCTGGGAGCCAGGGAAGGCCAGAAGTAGAGTGAGGGCCAGTCAGGTGGCCTGGGAGCCAGGCAGCAAATCATGGCTGTGTCTGAGCCCATTTTTGGGGGTGCAAATATAGCCTTGATGACTTAAGAGGGTCTTTCAGGTACAAAACCAATGAAGACACCTGAAATGTGTTTGATCTGTTGAATCAGAAAGCTGTTATCCGAGGGCTGTGAACATCTGCTCTTTTTAATAGTACTGAGGCCTTAAGAAGGGTAAAGAAACTGATTGCAGAAGGGGTCCTTGGGGTCCTTTATCAGTGATGATTGTCCATCCTGGGACCAATGGTGACAATGGTTCAGGCAAACACTGCTCAGAGGCAGAGGGCTGGATGCACTGGCTTTTGGATGCACTGGCTTTCTCATTCTCGGGCCTTGGGGGTCCCTGCTCCCCCTTTCCTTGGGAAGGTGGGGATACAAGGTTGGAACAGTTCCTTGTGGCCAAGGGTCCATCTGCTGGATGGTAGGCCCCTTGAAAATGGGTCTAGATCTGGGTGAGATGTGTGTCTGCTCCCCCTTTAAAGAGCTGGCAGAGATGGAGAGAAAAGCACATGTGTGCAGGCTCAGGGGAAAGATAATGCTGTGTAATTTTATATCTTCTTTTATGCTGTGGCTTAGCCACACACCATTAGCACAACAGGAAGGAAAATGAATGGAAATGAAGGGTGTCAGTGGCAAAGATAGATAGATGGAGCTGATTGATTTTTGATGTTTCTTCAGTGCAACCTGAAGCAGAAAATCGACAAGCCACTCTGAGCTAGAGTCTGCCAGGGCCCCCAGCAGCAGGTCCAAGGTGAGGTACCTCTCAGCTGGTCTGTGGCCTGTGGCTTGGTCCTCGTGGTGAGCCGGCCTCATTGTCTCTTTTCTGCTCCCATGGGCTGGTGGGTGGGGGGCACCTGAAAGCTAAGCACTTATTCCCTTAGCCTTCCTTGGATGGCAGGGGACCCTCCAGGGCCTGTGCATTTTGGCCTAAACATATGGACTAGCAATAGAGAGGGTTCAGCAACTTCTCCAAGACCGCCTAGCTGGTAAATGGTGGAGATGGAATTTGAACCCAGTCTTTCTGCTTCCAAAGCTCCCACTCTCTGCCCTTCCCATTCCCCAGGATGCTGTAGCTCTGTCTTCTCTTCTGTCTTTTCTTCCTAGCCCAGGCTTCCCGGACTGCACCCTGGACTCTAGGTGCATTCTCCAGGTGGGAGTGGGAAGTGGCTGGCTGCATCAGGGTGGAGCGGACTGGAGCCCGGGGAAATGCTGTGCTTGGAGTCCCAGGCCAAGCTCAGGAGGGTTCTTTCCTCCTGCTCCAGTTACCATAGCTTCATTCATAAGTGTTGGATAGCTCAGGTGGACCTAGAAGAAGCTGGTCTTTGCCATTCCCAGGCCAGGATCAGCCTGGGAGGGTGGAGGCTGCAGGGAACTCTATTTAAGGAAAAGCTCTTTCCAGGTATTTTGTTTTTTCCCTCCCCTCCCCTCCCCTCCCCTCCCCTCCCCTCCCTTCCCCTCCCTTCCCCTCCCCTGTCTTTCCTCCCTCCCTCCCTCCCTTCCTCCCTCCCCTGTTCCCTCTGGCTCTGTCACCCAGGTTGGAGTAAAGTGGTACAATCATAGCTGATGGCAGTCCCAAACTTCTGGGCTCAAGCGATCCTCCTGCTTCAGCCTTCTGAGTAGCTGGGACCACCAGCTTGCGCCATCGAGCCCACTGTTTTAGTTTTCTAGGGCTACCATATCAAATTTCCACAAACTGGATGGCTTACAACAACAGAAATGTATTCTTCTCCCAGTTTGGGAGGAATTCTTTCTTGCCTCTTGTAGCTTCTGTGGCTTCTGGTGTGCCGTAGCTTTCTTTGGCTTGTAGATGCATCCCCCATTTTCTGCCACCATCCTCAAATGGGCTTCTTCTCTCTGCAATGTCTCTGTGTGTTCTCTCCTCGTCATATGAGGACACCAGGTGTTGGATGTAAGGCCCTCCCTAATCTAATATGACCTCATCTCAACTAATGACATCTGCAAACACACTATTTCTATATAAGGTCATATTCTGAGGTTGGGGTGGATGTGACTTTTTGGAGAACACTATTTAGCCAAGTACATATTCCACTGGGCCAGGTCCAGGCAGGGGATTGGAAAGGCCTCATGGAGATTGTCAGCAGTGCCGAATTTCAGTGTCCCCAAGACTAACTCCAGCACGTGGGTCTGTCCCATTTGCAGTTTGGTGGCCCAAGTGTCAGTGGGAACCAGGGTCTTTGGGGTAGGGAGTGTGGTTCATGGGCCCTTGACTCTGCTTGGTGTTGGAGGGACAGGCACAAGCCCTGGATTTTCTGCTGGCTTTCTGCTAAGCCCTCACAATCCACATTGGCAAAGCGCTATTGAAATCTTATTGCCCACTTCCTGTGTCCAAGTGTTGTCATTGTTCAATTCCCTCCTATGAGTGAGAACATGTGGTGTTTGGATTTTTGTCCTTGAGATAGTTTGCTGAGAATGATGGTTTCCAGGAAGGGGAACTTCACACACCAGGGCCTGTTGTGGGGAGGGGGGCGAGGGGGGAGGGATAGCATTAGGAGATATACCTAATGTAAATGACGAGTTAATGGGTGCAGCACACCAACATGGCACATGTATACATATGTAACAAACCTGCACATTGTGCACATGTACCCTAGAAGTTAAAGTATAATGATAAAAAAAAAAAAGAAATAGAGAACAGGACATGGTTACCAGAGGCCAGGAAAGAAGGGAGAATGGGGAGATGCTGGTCAAAGGATATAAAGTTTATGTTATGTAGGATGAATAAATGTAGACATTTATTATACAAAAAAAAAAAAAAGAAATCTTATTGCCCACATGGAAAGCTAGTTGTTGTCCTGCAGTACCACATGGAACAGGCAGGCAGGATTGGTTGTATGTGACGTTACCTCTCTGAGCTTGTGAGGGCATCTATAAAGTAGAGGTGATGATAGCTCCCCTTATAGGGCCGGGTGGGGGTGGAATGGAATAGGACATGGAACTACCCCCAGTGCCTCAGATATGTGAGCTCCTTTCCTCTGCAGCTAGCCCGGGAGCTTCTGGAAGACGGGATGCTGTCCACTCCTTCCTCACGTGCCACCCAGGCTTGGCATAAAATTGCAGGCCAGGGATCCGTGAGTGGTGAACAAACCATTACCAATGTCAGCCTTATACCAGGCCAGAGCTCAGCACCGGGCCTCCAGACACAAACTGGATAGAACCACTGCCCTCAAGGAAACCCCAGGCTGGGAGCAGGGCACAGGACACTCTGGCAACTCTGTGTCTGGGAGAGTTGCAGGTGCCGTAGGGGTGGAGTGGGATTGAGAAACAGAGAGGGAGGTGAGGAAGCCTCGGGGGCATGTTTAGCTCCAGGATGAGTCCTGAAGGAGGGGCCTTTCCAGGGAGGTGGGGAGGGCGTTTCAGCCACCCCAGGAGAAGCACAGTAGAAGCCTGGGTCTCCAGGCCTGGGTGAGTCCTCACAAGAACGGCCAGGGCTGCCCATAGCCCCACACCCCCAGCACAGGGGTTCTGGAGTGCAGGGAGTGAACGTCAGGTGAGGCTGACCTTATAGCTAAAGAGACTCCTTTGTCTGAGTTTTTATGTAATACACAAAAATGCTATTACATTAGAATGGAAATAATAGAGCCAGACTCCATGGTTCTATTTTCATCTTCTATATTCCCTTCCAGTCCTTGGTCCATAGACATATTTTTAATTATGGCACAACTACAGCTTTGGTTGCAACTTCCTTTATTATACTGTAAACATTTTTCACTGTTGCTACAGTTTTCATAATTATCATTTCAATGGTTGCATAAATTGGCCATTAAATTGATGTTCTTTAATTTATTTAAACATCACCTTTTGTTAGAGGTTTAGATTGTTTTCTGTTTCTGGTTATTATAAATCATGTTGAACATCTTTTTGAAGCAGTCATTTCTTTCTAACGAATTATTTTCTCAGAAGAAGATTATTGGGTCAAAGAGTGTGGGCATTTTTATGGTACTTGCAATGGTAACGCCAAATTGCTTTCGAAAAGATCATTTCCTGTCAGTGTGCAAGAAGATTGGTTTTACCACAACTCAACAAGCATTTGATGTGGCAATTAAGCCTTTGTTTTTCATTTTCTGCTATTTAATAGATGTGAAGTGACCTCCCATTGGATTCCCGGAGAGGTGGATTTTCCTGTGTTTGCTAACAGCACCTTCCCATGGGTGGACTTTCTGTCCAGCCCATTCATCTGCTGGCCTCTGGGAGTTTTGTTTTTTATAACGGTTTGTGTGAACTCCTTATATTATAGTTATCAACGCTGCCTGACACACTGCTACAAATGTGTTTCATAGACTATTTTTAATTTTAGTTATCTTGTTTCTTTCCTACAAAGCTTTTGTACTTTTTATATTGTTGAATTATCTTTTTATTTATACTTTCTTTTATCAGTATGAAACTTGAGAAATTATCACTCCCTCCAAGGAATAGATAAATTTTTCCTTCTATTTCCTGCTAGGTTTCTTTCATTTGACTTCTCTAGTTGACTCCTTAATCTCTCCACCGTTTATTTTCTGATGTGTGAGGAAAGGTGTGTTTCTGAACTAATTACTTTTCCTCAAAACTATCAGCGCAATTTATTAATCAAGAATTCCTTTCCCCATGGCTTGTTGATACCTGCTTTGTAATGCATTAAATTCTTGTATGCAATTAGGTCTATTTCTAGATTTTTAAATTCTGATCCATATTTCTATTTTTGTGCAAGTTCTACAGTACTTTGTTATTGCTTTCTAATAATTTTTATATCTAGTTTCCTCTCATTTCTTTTCATTTATTGAATTTTATTTATTTTTCTCATCTATTTTCAAAATGATTTTAGAATAACTTTATATAATTCCTTGGAGAAATCCTTTTGAGATTTTGATTGAGATTGAATTAAATGTATAAGTTAACTTTTGGGAAAGTAACATCTTTATAACATAAAGTCCCATCTGGGAACAGTTATTTTCTCTATTTATTCAAGCCATCTTTATAGCTCTAAATAAAGTTTGGTAGTTTTCTTTACACGGGTCATGCACATCTCTAGTGAAGTTTATTTCTAAATAGTTATACTCTTTGTTGCTTCTGTGAATGAGATCTTCTTGTTCATTTCTAAAAGTATTTTTGCCTGTGTAGAATACAGTAGAATAATCATTTTTATGTATGTATGTATGTATGTATGTATGTATGTATGTATGTATGTATGTGTGTATGTATGCATGTATGTATGTATGTATTTATATATTTATTTTTGAGATGGAGTCTCCCTCTGTTGCCCAGGCTGGAGTGCAATGGTGCAATCTTGATTCGCTGCAACATCTGTCTCTCGGGTTCGAGCGATTCTTCTGCCTCAGCCTCCCAAGCAGCTGAGATTACAGGCACATGCCACCATGCCCAGCTAATTTTTGTATTTTTAGTAGAGACGGGGTTTCACTATGTTGGCCAGGCTGGTCTTGAACTCCTGATCTCAAGTGATCTGCCTGCCTCAGGCTCCCAAAGTGCTAGGATTAAAGGTGTGTCCAGCCTATTTTTTTAAAATCATACTTTTAATTTATTGTATAACCAAGATGGCAACAGCATTGCAGAATTTAAAAAGAAAACAAAGGAGGAACCACCATCTCACCACCTTAACAAGCAAATGGTTTTAATTTTTCTGTGGTTCTTTCTAGAACTTGTCCTCAAACAGACAGACATTGGGCACAGCTATAACCACAGTGATGATCTGTTTTGCCTCCAGTGGCTTCTTCTATAATACCATAGCATTTTCCTTCTTGTCACAGAATTTTGCTAATGGTTTCACTTAACGGTGAGCCACTGGGACTGAGTGTTGGTTCTCAGATGCCCTGAAGAGTGTATGGGGACATTGGAGATGGGCTGTGGCTGCCAGCCATGGTGTGGGAGCCACTGTAGTTAACTCAGGGCTGGTGGGGCCAGTGCTATGGGGAAACTGGCCACTTCCCAGTAGCACTAGCTAGGGCCGAGCTGAGCTAAGCCCCTCAAACCTCTCTGGCAACAGGAGGAGCAAGAAGGTAGGGACACTGTCTGTAGGGGGGATGGATGAGGTGTTTGAGTCAGCTGAGGAACTGCCCCTCCACAGTGCAGGTGAGCAGGTGCTTTCTAGATCTTGTTGGTGCTGGTGCCAGGTGGGCGAAGTTTACCCATCATTGGTGTCTTCCTCCTGGTCCTTTTGTCTCTCACATACCTGTTGAGTGTCCGTAGAATGTCGTTAGATGCTGGGGATATGGATGACCAAGCCAAGCTCAGGTATGAACTGCAGTAGCACTGGGCAAAACCCCAACCTGCAGCTAAGGGTGGAAAAAAAAAGAACACCCACGTGACCAGTTTTGGCCGTCATATCGCGTTTCTCCGGGCCATTCTTTCTCCACTCCGTCTGACCTTCCCCTCTCTTTCCGCATCTGCAACACCTCCTCTCTCCTCCATGCTGGCCACAGCCCCGAGCAGCAGAGTTTTGTTCCCTATATAGTTCACTGAGGAGAGAGAAGGTGGCAGTGGATGGCGATGCTCCATCCCCACACCTGCCTGCCTACCCACCCGTGTCCTGGACAACGCTCGGGCTCACTGCTGACCTGCCCATGTCCTGTCTGAGACGCCCTTTCCTTGGGCACTACATCCCATCCGTCCGCCTCCTTTGCTCCAGGCCATCACCCAGCAGTTCTCTCCCTCCTCTCCTTCATCATCAAGTTTCCTTCTCTAGTGGATTATTTCCATCTGCTCATAAGGACACTGTGTTATCTCCTGCCCTAAAGATTCCTGCGCTTGGTCCACTTCCTCTGCAGCTACTGTCCTCTGCGTCTCCTCTGCCGCTCCCCCACCCACTTACAGCGAAGCTCTTGAAAAGGCCGTTCTGTATGCTCTGTCTCCCATGCCTTTCTCTCCATTGCTCCTGTGCGCACTGTGGTCAGGCATTTGCCCTCACGACTCTCAGAGCTGCTCCAATGAGCATTCTCATGACTTATGTGTAGCTTGGTCCAGTGGCCCAATCTCAGTCCTTTCCTTACCTGTCCCGCCCCCACTGTTCCCCGGGCTCAGGACTGCAGCCTCCCTCCTCCTGGCTCTGTGGCGGGTGCACCTTCCTAGTCCCATTGCTGGGCTCTTCTCATCTCCCGACCTCAAAACACTGGCATGTCCCATGTCCCCAACTTTAATCATCTGTCTTCTGTTGTACTCCTTTTCTTGATGACTTCTGACCGTCTCACACCTTTGAATATCACCTACCCATGGAGGACTTTGCAGTCCTGCCAGCTTGCCTCTCTCGTTAGCTCTGGATTCTCTGTCCACTGCTTCTCCACTGGGATGACATAGGCTTCTTACACAAGCATGTCCCCAAGCTGGGTGCTTCAGCCCACACCAGCCCCCGTGAGGCTTCTCCATCTGCCCTCCCTCCAGTGCTCAGGTCCAGTGCCTTGGGGTCCCCTGCACTCTCCCCTCTTCCCATCCCCAGGAGCCCACCCTTCTAGCTCAGCCCACTGACCACCCCCATGGCTAAGCCACCATCGTCTCTCCCCTGGATTCTTGGAATGGCTTCCTGACAGGTCTCCCTGCCTCCGCCCTGTCCCACTTGGTCTGTTCTCATCATGGCACCAGAAAGATGCTGGTGCACACAGCTCACTCAGATCAAAGCTCCCAACAGCTCCCATCTCGCTAGAGGAAAAGTCAGGGTCCACACAGGAGTCGCCAGGCCTTGTGCTGCCCATCTGCTCCCCCAGGCCTCAGGGCTCACTGCCCTGGGCCACCTTATGCTGTTCTCCTTGCCTTCACCAGAACCGGTATACCTCTCTTAGAGACTCAACCCCAGAGCTTGCCCCAGGACTCCGTGAAGCCTCTACCCTCACTTTCTGGTGCTGACCAGGCCTGCCTAGCCTCCTCTCCATACTCCTCCAGCTTCTACACTAGGCTCTCCTGATCCTCTGCCTCGATTTAGTTTTACCCATAACAGTGATCACCCGCGAATATACTCTATCATCCACTCAGCCATATTTTTGAATTGACTTAAAATGTTTTATTTGACTTTATTGCAATAAATTTTTATTTATTATCTTATTGTTATTTTTTATCCATCAGCCATTTTTAATTTTACTAGAGCCTTAGCTCCAAGAATACAGACATCCTTGTCTGGTGCAAATGCACCCAGCACAGTGCCTGGACCAGAGACAGCGCTGACGACGTTTGTGGGAGGAATGAGTGGTGAATGAATGAATGAATGAATGAATGAATGCATTCCACCCCAGCTGCAGTGTCTCCTCCCCCACCCCTCCCTATCGTTTGAGTCTGTGTCTCTGTGCTGACAGGTTGGTGTGGATGCAGGTTCCCTGATGCTGCAGCCCTGAATCCAGGGCCTGGTGCTGGAAGCAGCAGGTTGCTTTGTGGGGAATACAAAAGGGTCTTTGCTCTGAGGATTGGTTTGGGGTTTTTGTTTGAAATGTAATATGCAGAATAATAACAAAAAAAGTCTTTAACATGTAAATGGCTCTGCTTGGCAGAGCCAAGTAATCAAATCAAATGGCTCTTCTTCTATGCCTACCCCATCCCCAAGGCATTGCTGGCGCTAGGAAGTTCCTCTGGGGCTTTGATAGTCAGCTTGTGGGGGTAGCTGCAGGGGCCTGAGCAGTGTGGGGGCCCTTCTCCTCAAGTCTCAGTGACTGGCATGCCTGGGCCAGGGAAAGACATGGGGAGGTAGGCGATGGCTCCTTCTCCCTCCCTGGCATTGGAGTGTGTAGCCCCCCAGCCATGGCAGCCCTGCATGGGCCACAGGGAAAGAAAGAAGGAGTGATAACAAAGCTGGGAAAGGTTGGAGCTCGAGGAAGACCCTGGGCTTCTTGAGACCCTCCCACAATAACCTGCAATGGCACATGGGTTGGGCAGAGGCAGCGCCGGCACAGCTAGGGCACAGGACACAGCTCTGGGCTGGGCATGGTGCCAGGCTCAGGAGTGAGAGACTGGGTCTGCAGCAGGGCCTCTGGGAGTCTGAGGTCTGTGATTTTCGTAGAGTCCAGGCCCAGTTGGCTTTCTTTTCACAAGGGCCCATCCATCTGCCCCCATCCATCTCTTCACACAGACACCCTCACTCACACCCACACTCACAGAGCTACATTCCACACTCACATCTGCCACACTCACACACTCATACATATACAGTCCCACACAAACTCACGTTAACATCCACACTCACACCCACACTTGCATACACACACCCACAGACACCGTCACACTCACACCCACTCCCGACACTCACACCTGCGCACACTCGCACCCACCCACCCACATCCACACTCACACTCACCCACACTTGCACACACAGCCACACTCCTCACATTCACATGCACACACGGAAATGCCTTGGCCCTGAAGAGAGGGAGGAAGGCAGGGGTGAAGGGAGGTACAGGGGGACCCCTCCCCAGCCTCAGGGCAGCAGATTGCTGTTTGCTCCATGGGACCAGAGGAGGTGCCAGGGGCGACGCTTATCTGTGAGCTCAACTCCAGTTTACCAACAATTGCTGTAGGAGCTGCTCTTCCTGAGAACTGAGACTTTCTTCCCGGCATGGTGATGCTTCCCTAGGGCATGTGGCTGCAGGGCAAAAGGGGAATCCATTTTCCCAACAGGGAAATGTCACCCTGTGCATCTTGGCTGCTGTCAGTCCTGACAATCTCCTGAAATGAAGCTTGCAGGTGAGCAAAGAAGAGCTTCCTGCAGCTCTGAGGCCTGCGGATGTGCCATCCTTCCCAAAGCAGGAAGCAGGGCTGGAGGCAGAGCCTAGAGGTGGCGCCCTTGTGGCTTCTCCCCTTGGTCAGGTTCCCCTGAGTCTGTGCTGGGGCGTGCGTGCTTTTTCTTGCACAAGCCTGCAGCCTCTGTCGTGGGCCTGACCTGGAGGGTGTCTGTGGAGGGGCTTCCCTGACCCTGTGTGTGGGCCCCAGTGCCTCCTCTGCTCAGGTTTCCAGGGCTGGCAGCCCCAGACTCCAGGTGATGATGACAGTGAAGGAGAGGAATAGGCCCTGGCTTGAGAATCAGACTGGCCTGGGTTTGAGTCCTTCTCAAAGGGCCCTGGCTGGGTAACTTGCCCTTGATTTCCTCTGTCAGGTGGGCATGATAACCCCTCGATCAGGGCCGCATGTTGAATTGCTGCCACCTGCCCCCGCCCCAGACCTTGCTGTGCTGTGTCCGTGTGTCATGGGCTCAGGGCATGGTGCTAGCATTGATGGAATGGTCACTTTGCATCAGCCTTGGAGATGAGCTGATGTGGTACTCATTCCCACGGAGCTCTCCGTTTGGTGGGGGAACCAACACAGAAACAGAGACTTAGCGCTGTGTGATCTTGCACCAGCTGAGATGAACAGAGAGAGTGGTGTTGGGGACAGCAGCCCAGGGCAGCCCAACATTCAGGAGAAGGTGTCTGGAGGGCTTCCTGGAGGTGGATGGCCTGTGCTGAAGCCCAAAGGCTGAGTGAGAGTCTTGTGCTGTGCCCCTGGGCTGAGGCAGGGCTGGTACTGGCGAGGCTGCTGTGGGGTGAGCCTGGTACTGCCCGGGGTTGGGGAGTCCCTCTCACTCAGCCTGTGCCTTCCCTGGGAGTGACTCATTTCTGCTTTCCCTGGGCTCCTCAGCTTCCCTTCCTCTAGCCTGGTCCTAACACGGTCTCTGGGCCAAAGTCTAGGGCCAGGCTAGGGCGAGGAGTCAGTGGGGATGGAGGTCAATGGGGATGGAAAGTGGGGGTCTCATCCCCTTCCTGCCTCTTGTTGTGTGCTCTGTGCACCGCGCTGTGGATCTGGAGGCCCTCTGGGCTCTGCTTTCCACCCCCCGCCACAGGTCCCCTTCTCTGCTTTGTCCCTGGGCCTTGTGCCTGTGGCCCATGGTGGCCACACTCTCTGGGGGCTCAGAGCTGCTGGGAGCAGAGCAGCGCAGACTTCCAGGATCTTCACAAGCTGTCCTGGTCCTGGGAAGCTCTTGGGACCTGGAGCTTTGCTGCTCCTCCCTTTGAGCCTTTCAGGGACTGGGACCTGGACTGTCAGAATCTCACTGCTGCCCTGGGCCGCTTCCTCTCCAGGACAGCTCTCTGTCCTGGGTTTCAGGGGTGCATTGTGGCCTGAGGAGGTGTTCTCTCTTGCTGGTCTATTAAACAAAGCCTAGGTTCATTAACAGCGGGAAAAGACCCTCACCTCATGATCCAAGCTGACTCATTCTTGGCTTTCCACAACTGCCTCTTGCCTTATTGTTCATACTACTTCCTATTTCTCCCAAACATATCATGGTCTTTCATGCTTTATCTTTGTGGCTCTCTTACCTGGAACATATTTTATTTTATTTTATTTTATTTTATTTTATTTTTGAGACAGAGTCTTGCTCTGTTGCCCAGGCTGGAGTGCAGTGTCATGATCTTGGCTCACTGAAACCTCTGCCTCCTGGGTTTAAGCAATTTTCCTGCCTCAGCCTCCTGAGTAGGTGGGAATATAGGTGTGCACAACCACACTTGGCTAATTTTTTTATTTTTATTTTTAGTAGAGATGGAGTTTTGCTATGTTGGCCAGGCTATCCTCGAACTCCTGGCCTCAAATGATCTGCCTCCTTGGCCTCCCAAAGTGCTGGAATTACAGGTATGAGCCACCGCACCTGGCCGGGAACATCTTTTAAATGATGGCTTTGATGTGTCCTCCCCAGGAGCACCCCAACGCTCTCAGCCAGAATGAGGCACTGCCTCTTCAGTGCTCACAAGAGCAATTTGCAGTTCCTCTTAGTTTTATTAGGCTCCATGTTTTAGGATAATTATTCATTTATCTATAATTGAGTCCACTTATTTTTGCAGGCATGAGGAGATGTATTAATCAGGACTGTTTGTTGAAAGTGATAAAAATACCAGTTAAACTTGTTTAAGTAAAAAAGGGAATTCGTTTTAGCTTATATGACAAAGTGGTCCAAGGATGGGCTAGCTTCAGGCATGGCTGGATCTAGCGGTTACGCCTTCTGCTCTTGCTTTCTCTTTCTTGCTCCCTCGCGGTGTCTTGTTTCTCTTCTTCTCTCATTGGCTTGACTCTTAGGAATGTCCTTCCCACCCAATGACAAAGAGGAACCACCACAACTCCAGCTTGTCTGGTCTTTGGTGTCCACAGTCTCAGCACAAGTAAGAGTCCCTGTTTGGAAAGCTCAGGCAAAGGCTTTAAGGATATAGTATTGGCCCAGCTGGGGTGGCTGCCCATCCCTGAACCAACTGGGGTGAGTAGGACACTCTGTTTCGTTGGGGTGGGCTGCCACTGTGTCTGGCCAGCTCACTAGAAGTCATGGACTAGGAGTAGAGGGAGGAGGCTCTGCAAAAGAAAATCGGGGTGGGAGGCTGGGCAGGATGGATGAGTGGCTGCCCCCTACAGGAGCCATTAGAGCTTGGTAAGCAGGAGCTGGGGAGATCAGAGCCATATTTTAGAAAGATTAAGCCAACTGCAGTTAGGAGAGTGGCACGGGGCAGTTGGGGGCATGGGGGCTGGGCCACCGAGAGGCAGCATCCTGGGTTCCCTGGAAGCAGAGGTGGAAGAGGCTGAGGTAGCAGAGCTTGGCTTGGCCTGTGCTGAATCACCAAGGGCAGCCGAGGGGTCTGAAGGGGTGATGACTGCTTCAGCTGGCCGATGTTCTGTTTCTCAGGGATTCACAATTAGGATAATGACATGAGGGATGACCTTGCCAGCAGTGGTCTCCAGGCCCTTCCCCTCTTCCTCACTCAGTTTCATGCTTCTTGGGGCCCTCTGTTTTTCATGGCTGGGGCTGATGTTCCTGGGCATTAATTGGTCTTCATTAGACAGTTTGAGAGTTGAGGATGCTTTGGGCCTCACTGTGTCTCTCCCAACCAGCACTGGGGGTCCATTGGTCTGCCAACCTTGAGTGACAGGGATCTTCTGAGTCCATCTTTCAAGTGTGTAGCTCTAGTGACTGTGCTCTTGGGGCCCAGTGGGAGAAGAGGCATGGGAGGCAGAACAGTGGTGTCTACACATATTTTTGTTCACATAGAAGCCTGGACAGACATGGTGGGGTGAGCTGTGTCCAGGGCCATGTCCTATTGCTGAGCAGGAGGCCACTAAGTGCTGGGGAGTGGTGGGGCCTCTGTTCTCCTGCAGCCTTCACCCCATGCTTGTGTGGGGTGTCTTGGTGCCTGCGCTGCCTGCTGTGTTCATGAGGCTGGCATAGCCAGTCGGCCCTGCTCATAGAAGCGCTCTGGCCGTCTCTGCACACTGAAGAAGAGGTGACGGCCACCCACTGTCAGATTGACATTATCTGGCAATTTGAGTGCTGCCGCTTTGAGGTTTGGGGTGATAATGGTGATGTTTGAGAGGGAACCCAGAGACCCAGGTGCTGCTTTGAGGAGGCTCCAACATAACTAAGCTACTTTTCCCCCAGAACGCAACCGAGAGGCAAGCACGGCTGTTCAGCAGGACTCCTGGGTTCTCACAGAGTTCCACCTTGTTTCTGGTTTCTGAGTCAACTGAAGACCAAGTTGCTGAAGTGGATGTTGACCACATTCTAGAATAGCAGTGTGGTTGCTTCCTAAAAGCCTTACTTGTAGGCATATTAAGCTGAATGAACATTGCCAGAGAGAACCCCCTCCCTCAAAACTGTAACTGATCACACACTGTCCAAACAGCAGGTGCCGTTATTGTCTCTGGAGACTGGAGACTGTGGGCTCTCCCAGGCTCCCTGGGGATGTTCTTGGTCAGCCATGCCTGAACGCTCCAGCTGAGGAGTTACTGTTCAGGAGACATGAGGGACTCTTGGTGTTCGCTGCTGAACTCTGCTCTCGCAGGTGAACAGGTTCGTGGCCAGTGAGATCCTGACTTGTGGGGAATGTGGCAGGTGGGCAGATGTGAGTCTCTGCCCTCACTTTGTGCCCATAGACTCAGCTTCTGCCGGGCAGCCTGGCATCTTCCTGCTGCCTTTTCCCCAGGAGGCAATGGTACAACTCTGCAACAAGCATCTTTGGTGGAGGCAGAGCATGGCAGGGGCTGGGCAGGCTTGAAGGGTGGTGCTAGGCCTGCATGGAGCATGTGGAGCTGGAGGAAGAGACCCTTATTGGCTAAGGAGCAATTTCCTGGAGTCTTGTGGGTACATCCTCTAGTGATCCTGATGCCAGCCACCTTCTGCCATCCTAGATATGAGTGTCTAGGAAACCACAGAAAATCTCTGGCAACAGGAATTTTGGGCTGAAACCATGTGGCTCAGAAGTTAGGCTGACCACCGAGAAACCATTTAAACTGTGAAACTTTTTAAAGTGAAATTAATAATTTCACTAAAGAACAGGTGCAACGGCTGTGCTGGGCAAACGAGGATACGCGGTCACCTGTTCAGGGAAGGCTCTGTGGAGGGGCACAACCAGCCCTCTCCTGTGGACTCTGATGGTTGTGGTCAGGGCTGGGGCTAGGAAGTAAGGACCCAACGTGGCAGGTTGGCCTGAGTATTGAGATGTCAGGACTGGTCCTGGTGCACAAGCCCATTTGATCCAGGGTGCCAGTGCAAGCACTGTGCAGTAGTTCATTTTCATTTTTTTTCTCTGTTGCAGAAGACACTTGGTAAAACAATAGCAGCAGCTGCTTTTAGTTAAGTGGTGCGTTACTGGGACCAGGAATGGTGCCCAGGGCTCTCCCCTGATTATCTCTTGCTTTGAGGTAGGCACCCAACTTTTAGTTACGAGAGAATTGAGTCAATGACCTGACTCAGAGGAACTTCCAGTCCCTCAGGGATACAGGGGGGAATTTGGGGACTGCAGTTCAGGCTTCTCATATGACAAGGTTGCTTTCTGTCTGGTCCTGTTTCTACCCCAGCCTCACCTGCAGCTCCTTCCCCACGGGACCTCCTGTGCCCAGGCATTCCATCTACTTCCGTGCCTCCAGAGCTGTCCTGTGCATCCTTCTGGACCTCACCTTCTCAGCCTTTAGGGTCCTGCTCTGCTGTGCTCCTCAAGTCCCTACGGAACTGCCTGGAGTCACGTGTCTGCCTCCCTGACCAGCCTATAAGAGCATGGCTCATAGGAGCAACACCAGGTGGCCATGTCTGTGGCCCAGGATCTTGCAGGTGCCCAGGCAGTGGTGGTCATACCACAGTGGGCTTTCTGCTGGGATGGGTCTTGAGGGCCCTGATTTCTGCTCCTCTGGTTTTCTGCATGGGTGCTGACTTCTTCCCACTCACAGTAGATAGCTGTCAACCCTGCCGGCGCCCAGAGCGGAGAGCTGTCAGGCTCTGCCCCTGGGGTAGGTACCGTTGTTGTCCCATTTTACAGATGAGAAAGTGAGGTGCAGAAGGCAGGTAACTCCCTCACGGTCACATGGCAGGGCAGGACTATGATGAAATCCTGCCTCTATCTGACCTGATTCCAGGATCTTGACAATTTGCTGAGCCACTGAGAAGTGTTTCCTATCTGCCTCGTGATGCCACGGAGAAGCCATTTGTGGAGCGCATCCTGTACTGCAAATTCCTGCCTGGCTTCTCGTGGCCTCACTCGTGGGAGGACGCAGGGAATTCGTGGAGCCCATGGTGGTTCCCCCAAACCTAGTAAAAAGGCAGGGAAGGGAAAGATGCCCAAGTGTGGAATCTTTTGCTGACGAAGGAGCCATGGAGATGGTCTCATCTCCACCCACGGAGACACAGGCTGCTCCCTCAGGCGTCCTTCCTGGGTCCTCAATAAAGGCACAGCACTCAGGTCAGTGCTGGGTTGGTCCAGGCTCACCGTCATGCTTGTTTCCTCATCTGTAAATATCTGTCCCTTTATAGGGTTGTGGTGAGGAACAAGATGATCCTATAACTATACATCTACACTTCTATATACCTATGCACCTATATCTATGCCTCATCTATACCTCTCTCTACCTATACCTATACCTACAGGCTACCTCTAACCTCTACTTATACCTACACCTACAGCCTACATCTAACGTATCCCTATCCCCATCCCTATCCCTATCCCGACATCTAATTTAAATCTATATCTGTATCTACATCTCACCTATACTTATACCAATTTCTAGACCTAAACCCACATCTACAATAAGTTCTTGCTTAATGTTGTTGATAAGTTATTGGAAACTTTAAGCAAAACAATGTACAGCAGGTTCTCAAATACGGTTTTGCTCAAACGTCTTTTCATTACAATGTTGATGAGAAAAAAATTTGGTTTCCATTATACATTGTTTCACTTAAAGTCCTATCAGTGATGTTAAGTAAGGACTTACCATATATCGAATCTATGCCTTGACCTATTTCTACTCCTATTCCTATTCCTACATCTAATCTGTACCTATTCCTAGACCTACAGCCATGCCAACACCAGCACCTACAGCTGCGCCCTCATCTCCGGTACATATCTCAGAGCAGTGTCTGGCATCCTGGAAGCCCTGTGTGGGCGTGCTGACATATGGTTATTATTACTGCAGGCCAGGTGGTGGGCACAGTGCTGGTCTCTTGGAGGTGGCACAGGGTTCCTGTGTTGTTGACCCAGTCGGCAGGGGCCCTGGGCTGGGGCATTTAAACAGCATGTTGATGAGAAGCTGCGCCTTTTGTTTCTGTGACAGGCGGTGGCTGGAGTCTCCCTGGCTGCATCCTCTTTGTGGGTCATTAAGAATGTCACATTTGGTTTAGGCAAGCATGTCACCACAGGGCTTCACCATGAGTGTCATGTGCAGGGCGATCCTCAGCATGCCATCCAGGAAGTCCCTGCTAGCAGCCTGAGACAGAGGCGGGAGAGGGTGTCTGGCTTCAGAGCCATCGCTGTCAACTGATGTTCACCTGGCTCAGGGGAAGCAGGGCCTCATAGGCTGTGGAGTCTGACACTACTGGTGCTGGTGTGGTGTTTGCAGGGACACTCTGGATGCTTTCCCTGGGCTGAGGAGGGGTAGAGGCAAAGGTCCCTGGCCATGGGGGGTGGGTTGGGGGGCTCGCTCCTCTCCTCTTCTTGACTGCCTCACTGTGGAGGGAGGACTGTCCACCTGTGGGCTGGAGAGGCATGGCATGGTCTCGTACCTTCCAGCAACCCCATTACTGTTGTCCCCATGGTTTAGGTCTTGACATGGAGGCTCGAGAGGTGACAAGGCTGTCCTGAACCACTCTGCAGACCAGGGTAGAGCCAGACCTGAGTGGCCACAGCCCAATTTTCTTCCCCTATACCACAGTGCCCACTGCCCACTCTGCCATCTCCCTCTGCTGCGACCCTATGCCCCGTCCTCAGACTCTGACCTGGGATTTTGGCTCCTGACAGTGGATGGCATTGTGGCCTTCCCCACAGCATCCACGTTTACTGAGGGCGCTCTCTTAGCTTTTCTGCCTGCCTTGACTGCCATACTGAGAGCCTGTGGCCTGGCAGGCCCACATTCGCTGCTTTGGGGTCTGCTCTGAGAGGCCTGGCTGTGTGATGGAGCACAGCAGCTTTGTTGGCCCCCACCTGGGAGCTGGCAGAAGAGCTGGTTCAACTCCGCAGTGGTAGGGCAGCCCCCAGCTCAGCAGTGGTGGAAGTGGGTGTGTCCTGCGAGCTGGTGCTCTGGTTTTGTTCACAGAGGAGCATTTGTAGTCTCCACGGCTTGGAGATGGAACCTCTCAGTTCCTGTGTGCTTCAGTGAATCAGAGCCTGATTAGGAGGTGGCTGAGCTGCTAGAGGAGCCTCCATTTGTAATTGAAAATGCAGCAATGACCAGACAAGGGTGGGCTGTGTGTGTGTAGGGGTGAATGTGTGTGCAAGTGTGTGTGATGGCAGATGTGTTGTGTGCAGGTGTGTGTGTGAAGGCAGATTGAAGACAGGTGTATATATGCAGGTGTGTGTATGAGGGCAGGTGTGTATGTGTAGGTATGTGTGTGAGAGCAGATGTGTGTATGCAGGTGTGTGCATGAGGGCAGGTGTGTATATGCAGGCGTATGAGGGCAGGTGTGTAGGTGCTGGTATGTGTGAGGGCAGGTATGTATATGCAGGTGTGTGTATGAGGGCAGGTGTGTATATATGCAGGTGTATGTGAGGGCAGGTGTGTATGGGCTGGTGTGTGTGAGAGGGCAGGTGTGTATATGCAGGTGCATGTATGAGGGCAGATGTGTATATGCAGATGTGTGAGGGCAGGTGTGTATATACAGGTGTGTGAGGGCAGGTGTGTATGTGCAGATGTGTGTGAGAGGACAGGTGTGTATATGCAGGTTTGTATGTGAGGGCAGATGTGTATATACAGGTGTGTGTATTAGGGCAGATGTGTGTATGCAGGTGTGTGTGCAAGGGCAGTGTGTATATGGAGGTGTGTGTATGAGGGCAGGTGTGTATTTGCTGTTGTGTGTGAGGGCAGATGTGTATATACAGATGTGTGTGTAAGGGCAGGTTGTATGTGCAGGTGTGTGTGTGAGGGCAGATATGTGTATGCAGGTACACACCTTATTTGCATATGTGTATGCATGTGTAAGGGTAGGTGTGTGTGTGCATGTGTGTGTAAGGGCAGGTGTGTGTGTGTGTGTCATGTGGGCAAGCTACCCAGCCACAGCTCTTTCCAACCAAGTGCCTGATGCCAGGCCCTCCTTCTCTAGCAGGACAGTTTCACTAAAATCTGCTTGGTCCTGCTGAATCCTTCCTTCCAGCCAGGCAGTGGGCTAGATACTGGGGCCCCTCACCACATGTGGGGAGCTGAATGAGGTGAAAGGCCTGGGTGCTATCTTGAGGAGGTCTGAGTCCTCCCTTCCCCCTCCCCAACCTGTGCAAATAGCACAGAGGAAGGGATAGTGTGGGGGCTGGGCTTTTCCAGAGGAGAGTCTCCTAACCCTATGTGGGGAGGAATCTCCAGGGAGGACTACCTGGAGGAGATGGTGCCAAAGCAGAGCCTTGGAGGATGAGCTGGAGGAGTTGGCCAGGCACACAGCAGGGCAGGGAGGGCATTCCAGGCCATGAGGGCACATGGACAGGCAGATAGGTGCCTAGGGTAGGGGGCTGGTGTCTTAGAGGAAGTGAGAGCAGTTCAGAAGGTGTAGGGGATGGCAGGGGTAAGGGTGCACTGGTGGGCAGAGGCCTGGCCCTGACTGTGAAGGGTCCTTATGCCACCGGGGAGAGGTTAGCCTTGACTGTGAGCCAAGTGGGTTGCTGCTGATTGGCTTCAGAGTGACATGTGGCAAGAGTGACATGGACAGACATGACTCTTGGAGGGTTTCTCTGCTGAGGGTGGAGAATGGGTTGGAGGCAGGGCTGGTGTGGACATCTAGGAGGGAGATAATGGCTGACCTTGGGCCATGGCAGTGGGGGGCTCAGAGGATGTGGGAGGGGAGCCCCCAGGGAAGGGCCACAATCCCTGAATTTAGGGGGTGTCTAGTGATAGAGGCCAGCACTCTCTGTAACTCCCTGGGAAGAGCCCTCCGTGCCCACCCTTGGGTACTGCCATGCTTAAATGGTCTTGCTGCTCATGGTCGCTCTTTACTTACATGCAAACTTGCTCCAGTACAGCCCCTTTTTTTCCTGGGCTGATGAGGATTCAAGAGCTTGCTGGGGAATTGCACTCTTTGAACTGTTCCCTGAGATGGACCACGGATCCCCTGTGAGGACAGGCTCAGCCGGCACCTGGATCCATGGAAGGGCTGTGCTCTGAAAACTCCCTGCCTCTGATTTCCCTGGTGGAGTGAAGAAAACAAAGGCTCGGCTCCTGCTGTGGTTTTCTGCATTTTACAGATGAGGCAACTGAGGCCCAGAGAGGTCCAATGATTTGCCCAAGTCACCCAGGGAGAGAGAGGGACACCCAAGCCTCCTGCCTCTACCTTTGGAGGCTGGGATGGGAGCAGGAGGGCACTGCTTGAACATCTGCTGTATGCTAGGATTTGCAGGGGCTTCATGAATTCACTTTCCCATTTCATTCTTCCAGTAGCCATGCAAGCTGAGAATGGTCTTCCCAGTTTGCAGATGAGCAAACCAAGGTTCTAAGTGGTGGAATCACTTGTCCAAGGCGCCACTCTGTGGGATGGGGATGCAAACCCAGATGACTGGATGCCAGTGTCTGTCTGAACCTAACCACTGGGCTATTGTGCTTTCCACTGAGGAGTATGGGAAGGAGTGGCATTTAAGCAGACCTTACAGAAGGCAGGAGGCCCCCTCCCTGAGCAGTGCTCTACCCCCATCCTAGAACAACTGTGGGCTGGAGGAAGGAGTCCTTCCCAGGCCAGGGTCTCAACCTGGCTGCCCAGCAGAATCATCTGGGAGAGCTTTTAAAGTGTGCTCAAGCTCTGATCAATTGAAATTGCATTTCTGGAGATGGGACATGGGCATCTACATTTTAAAAAACCTCCCCAGCTGATCCTGATGCCCAATGAAGGCCTAGGACTACTGTCCTAGGCCTCAGGCCATGGGTCTGTGGGCAACAGGAGCCCAGAGCACCTGCTTCCTTTCTGTAACTGTTGGGCATGGCTCTCCTGAATTTGGAAGATCTCATGAACAACAAAGTTGCTTTTGGCCATAGTTCCCCATGCTGATTTTCAGATGAACTCCAAATAAGCCAAGGTTAGGCACAACCGCCTGCCCAGTGGGTAGGAGAGAAGGGTAGATGAGGCAGCAGAAATGTTACAGTTTTCCTCTAGCCCAGGACAGCTCTGGTGAGAAATTCTCCCTGAAGAGCCAGCCCACCTTGCTGTACCCCATAACCCCTCTGCAGCCACTGGCTGCAATAGGTGCAGCTCTGCTGTGCACCTCAATCTCCTCTGCAATCCCAGCAGCTCAGCGTCAGGCAGGAAGTAAATGAAAGATGCCTTTCCCTCACCACACCATTTCTTGCCTCTCTTTATCCAAGTGTTCCATTTCCTTCCTTTTTCCAGATGAAGCCACTTCCTCCCCCCTCTTCCAACACTTACCAATGGTTTCTTTTGCTGTGCCAGGCCCTGATGGAGGTGCTTTGGGTTGTATAGATGAGCCAGATGTAGGCTCTGCCCCCTCCCTATTGCATTCTCAGTCAGTACAGGAATTAGACAAGGAACAAGTCCCAAAGGGAAAATGCCCCTGGCTCCAGGCGAGGTTCAGAGGAAGGGTGATCCCCATGGTTGGTAGAATCAGGGAGCGCTTCTTAGAAAAGCAGGTATTTTCAGCCTGTCTGTAAGGGTTGAGAAGGATTTGGATGTGAGCAGAAGGAAGAGTAATCGAGGCTGGAGAATGAGCTATAAAAGGAAAGAAGGAGGAAGGGAAAATGGGGGAGAGAAAATACATGGATATGTTATGCACTGACAGGGGAAACTATAGAGGAGGTATGGGGAGCAGTGAATCCAGTTAGCTGGCAGAAAGGGTCAGTGAAAGGAGGTTAGGGGAAAGAACATTGGAAAAGTAGGTAGGGGGCCAGGTCATGGCCTTGAAAGCTGTGCTGAAGAGTCTGGGCTTGATTCCATAGGGAAAGGCATGATGAAAGCTTTTGTAAAATAAATGAAGGGAGGAGAGGTGGAAGCCACTCAGCCCCTGCTACAATGACTTAGGAGGGCTTTGCTCCTCCTGCTTTCACAAGGGTTCTCCATAATGAATGTCTCCATGTTAACTATTAAAACTCTCTTTGCAAGTGATACCATTGCTATTCTGAATCTACTGGCCATACTGAGGAGCTTGTTGAGTTTGGCATTGACTGTGCTCCTGAAATGAAGAACAAGGAATCATTGAAGGAGCAGCAAGTAGAGGAGGGAGAAGATGAAGGATAAGTTGTCATGGTGGAAATTTTGTCAGACTAGTCCCTAAATACTCTATTTTTGATGCTATTGTGAATCATATTTTTAAAATTTTAAATTTGTAATATACAATTGAGTTTTATATATTGATCTTTAATTTTATTTGAATTTATTTTTAGAGACAGGGTCTAGCTCTGTTGCCCAGGCTGGAGCACAATCATAGCTCACTGTAGCCTTGACCTCCTGGGCTCAAGCAATCTTCCCATCTCAGCCTCCTGGGTAGCTGCGAGTAAAGATGTGCACCACTATGCCTGGCTAATTTTTAAATTTGTGGAAGAGATGAGATCTTGTTATGTTGCCCAGGCTGGTCTCAAACTCCTGGCCTCAAGTGATCTCTTGTCTGTCGCTCCCAAAGCACTGAGATTAGAGGCATGAGCTGCTGCACCCAGCCTGTATATTAATATCTAGCAATGTTGCTAAACTTACTTATTGGTTTTAGTGCCTTTTTTTAAAGGGTAGATTCCATCAAATTTTCTAAGTAAATGATAATGTCACCTGTGAAGAAAGACAGTTTTGCTTTTTCCCAATTTGGATGATTTTTATTTCATTTTCTTACTTTATTGCAATGGCTGGAAATTCTTGTAAAATGTTAGAAGTGATGACAGTGAACATCCTTTTTTCTGATCTTAGGAGGAAACCATCCTATTCAGTCTTTCAACACTAAATATGATGTTAGCTGTAGGTTTTTATAAATGTTCTTTATCAAATCAAGAAGTTCCTTTCTATGCCTAGTTTGCTGAGAATTTTTATTAGGATTGATTTCGGAATAGTCAAATGCCTTTACCATGTTCAATGAGATGATCATATGTGTTTCTTTTTGGGCTTGGTGATATGGTGATTTGATTGCAAATGTTAAGTTAAATGTTAAATCTTACTTAGTCGTGATGTATTATCATTTTTATATATTGTTGGATTTGATTTGCTAAAGTTTTTGCATCTAAATTCATGAGGGATATTGGCAGGTTATCTTCGTTTATAAGGCTGCTATAACAAAGTACTGTCAACTGGAAGCTTATCAGTAACAGAAATTGATTTCTTACAGTTCTGGAGGCTGGAGGTCTGAGGGGGATACCAATATGGTCCAGCACTGATGAGGGCCCTCTTCTGAGTTGTAGACTGCTGACTTCTTGTGGTACCTTTCCATGGTGGAAAGAGGGCAAGAGAGCTCTCTAGGGTTCCTTTTATAAAGAATTCATAACATTCATGAGAGCTCCACCCTCATGACCCAATTTCCTTCCAAAGATCCCACCTCCTGATACCATCACATTAGGGGTAGTACTTCAACATGTGAATTTTGGGGGAACACAAACATTCAGTCCATTACACATGTGGTTTGTTATTATTATTTCTTGTAACGTCTTTGGTTTTGTTATGGTGGTAATTTTGTCCTAATAGAACAAATTGGGAAGTATTCATTCCTTTACAGTTTTCTGGAGAAGCTATGTAGAATTGGTATCATTTCTTTCTTAAACATGTGGTAGAATTCATCAGTGAGGCCATCAGGGCCTAGAGTTTTCCATGTTGGATAGTTCTTAACTTCAAATTCCATTTCCTTCATAGATAATAAGGCTAGTCAGGTTATCTGTTTCTTCTTGAGTGAGCATTAGTAGTTTGTGTCTTTCAAGGAATTGGTCCATTCTATCTATGCTGATGAGTTTATTCTTATTCATAATATGTCCTTATTATCTTTTTAATACCTGTAGTATCTGTAGTAATATCATCTCTTTTATTTCTGATATTGGTAATTTATGTCTTTTTGTTTTATCTTGATCAGTGTGGCTAGAGGTTTATTAATACTATTGATCTTTGAAGAAAAGCCAGCTTTTGGTTTCCTTGATTTTCCTATTGTTTTTCTGTTTTCTATTTTATCATTTTTTTTGCTTTGATATTTATTATTTCCTTTATTCTATTTACTTTGGGTTTAATTTGGTCTTCTTAAGACAAATTCTTAAAGTAGAAACCCAGGTCACTGGATTGACCCTTTAAAATTTATGTACAATGAAACTTTATCTCTTCTTACAGTTTTGACTTACAGTCAATTTAAAAAATAGTATTATAGCCACCCCACTTCTTTTTTGATTATGATTTGTCTGGAATATCTTTTTCCATCCTTTCACTTTTGAGCTACTTATATCTTTGGATGTAAAATGAGTCATTTACCTTGAATCATGTTTTGTAAAATTTATTACTCCAGCCCCTGTCTTTGGTTGGAGAGTTTAACCCATTTACATTTAAAGTAGTTATTGATAAGAATATACTTACTTTTGCAACTTTACTATTTATAGTTTAACACATTTACATTTAAAGTTATTATTGATAAGAATATACTTACTTTGGCCATTTTACTGTTTATAGTTTAACCCATTTACATTTAAAATAATTATTGATAAGAATATACTTACTTCTGCCATTTTACTATTTATAGTTTAACCCATTTACATTTAAAGTAATTATTGATAAGAATATACTTACTTGTACCATTTTACTATTTGTTTTCAGTATGTCTGTTAATTACTTTTTTGTCCCTCATTTTCTCTATTAATGGCTTCTTTTGTGTTTAGTTGATTTTTTTTGGTAGTGAAACACTTTGATTCCCTTTTAATTTCCTTTTGTGTATATTCCTTGGATATTTTCTTTGTGGTTACCCTCAGGATTACACTTAACATCCTAAATTTATAACAATCTAATTAGAACTGATACCAACTTCAACAGCATACACAACTATGCTCCTATATAGCTTTATTTCCTTGTTTATGTTATTATGACAAATCACATCTTTGTCAATTATGTGCCAATTAAAATAGATTTATAATTAAAAATGCATGTGTTTTTTAAATTATGTAAAAAATAAAAGTAGAGTTATAAACTAAAAATTCAAGAATGGCTTTTATGTTTGCCCGTGTAGTTACCTTTGCATTTATTCCTTCATGCAGCTTTGAGTTAATGTGTAGTGTCCTTTCATTTCAATCTGAAGGGCTCCCTTTGGCATTTCTTACAGAGAAGATCTAGTGGTAAGAAATGCACTCAGCTTTTGTTTATCTAAGCATATCTTAATTTCTCTTTTTAAAAGTTGTGGTAAAATTTATATAACCTAAACTCTACATTTTAAACTATTTTTAAGTGTATTGTTCAGTGGCCTTAAGTACATTCATATTGCTGTGCAGCCTTCACCACCCTCCATCTTGAGAACATTTTAATCTTCCCAAACTGAAACTCTGTACCTGTTAAACAATAACTCTCCATTTTCCTCTCCCCCCGGCTCTTGGAAACCACCATCCTACTTTCTGTCTCTATGATTTTGATGACTTTAGGTATCTTAGATAAGCAGAATCATACAATATTTGTCCTTGGTGACTGGCTTTTTTCATTTAACACAATGGCTCTCTCTTTTGAAAAAGGACAGTATTGCTGGATTTAGAACTCTTGAGTTTTTTAGTTTTTTTTTTCCAGCACTTGAAATATGTCGTCCCACTGCTTTCTGCCTTGATTTCTGATGACAAATTGGATGTCGAATCTTATTGATGGCTGGGTGCGGTGGCTCACGCCTGTAATCCCAGCACTTTGGGAGGTTGAGGCAGGTGGGACACTTGAGGTCAGGAGTTTGAGACCAGATTGGCCAATATGGTGAAACCCCGTCTCTACTAAAACTACAAAAATTTGCTAGGTGTGGTGGTGGGCGCCACTCTAGAGGCTGAGGCATGAGAATCGCTTGAACCCAAGAGGCAGAGGTTGCAGTGAGCTAAGATTGTGCCACTGCGCTCCAGCCTGGGTGACAAAGTGAGACCCCCATCTCCAAAAAAAAAAAAAAAGTCGTATTGAGTATCAAGTGTTGAATTGTGTCTCAAAAAATTCATATGTTGAAGTCCTGACACACAGTACTTCAGAATGTGAACTTGTGAACTTATTTGGAGATAGAGTCATTGCTGATATAATTGGTTAAGATGAATTCATTAGGGTGGGCCCTAATCCAATATGACTTGCATCCCTATAGAATGGGAAAATTTGGTCACTGAGATAAACATATATAGAGGGAAGATTGTGTGAAGAGACATAGGGAGAAGATGGCAATCTATAAGCCAAAGAGATAGGCTTGTAACAAATCCTTCTCTCAAAGTCCTTACAAGGAACCAGCCTTACTGACACCTCCATTTCAGATTTCTATCTTCCAGACTGTGAGACAAATCATTTCTATTGCTCAAGCCACCCAATTTGTGGTATTCTGTTATGACACTCCCAGTAAACCAATGCATTGGGAATCCCTTGTACATGACAAGTTCCTTCTTTCTTTATGCCTTTAAGATTCTTTCTTTGTCTTTGTCTTTCAGTAGTTTGATTATAAAGGATCTCTGTATGGGTCTCTGAGTTTATCTTACTTGGAGTTCACTGAACTCTTTGGATTTTAATTTCATGTCTTTCATCAAATTTGGGAAGTTTTTAGCCACTATTTCTTCAAATATTCTTCTTCCCCTTTATCTCTCTCTTCTCCTTCTGGAACACTCATAATGAGTATGTTAGTCTGCTTGATGGTATCTCATAGGTCATTTAGGTTCTGTTCACTTTTCATCTTTCTCTTTTCTTTCTGATTCTCAGACTTGATAATTTCAGTTGTCCTATCTTTAAGTTCACTGTCTTCTGTCTGTTCAAATCTGCTCTTTAACCCCCTAATGAATTTTTCATTTTGTTATTGTACTTTTTAGCCCCAGAATTTCTGTTTGCTTCTTTTAAAAATTAATGTTAATCTTTTTATTGATTTTCTCATTTTGTTTATGTATAATTTCCCCAATTTTCTTTAGTTCTTTGTCCATGTCTTCCTTTACCACTTTCAGCATATTTAAGACAGTTGTTTTAAAGTTGTTATCTAGTAAGTCTGATGCCTGGGCTTCCTTAGGCATGGTTTGTGTAAATTTACTTTGTTCCTTTGAATGGGCCATGTTTTCTTGTTTCTTTGTGTCCTTTTTTAAAAAAGGACTTCTGAATATTATAATGTGTTAACTCTAGAAAACATATTGTCTTCCTTCCCCAGAGGCTGCTGTTTTTTTTTAGTTGTTGAAGGGTGTATACTTCTTTGTTTAGTAACTTTCTCAAAGATTGTATTCATTGTCTTGTGTGATCACTGAAGTCTCTGATCCTTTAGCCTGTGTTTGGCTAATGTTTTGACAGATAATTCCTTGAATGCCATGAGCTAAAAACAAAACAACAACAACAAACAAATAAGAAAAACAAAAATACCCCAAACATCTCTCTCAGTCTTTGCAGATTTCTCTGTGCTAGGGAAATCCTTCAACACTTAGCCAGGCTGGCATTGTGCCTAGAGATTAGTGTGCCTACAAGACAGGGATGCCCTCTCTCACCACTCCTATTCAACATAGTGTTGGAAGTTCTGGCCAGGGCAATTAGGCAGGAGAAGGAAATAAAGGGTATTCAATTAGGAAAAGAGGAAGTCAAATTGTCCCTGTTTGCAGATGACATGATTGTATATCTAGAAAACCCCATTGTCTCAGCCCAAAATCTCCTTAAGCTGATAAGCAACTTCAGCAAAGTCTCAGGATACAAAATCAATGTACAAAAATCACAAGCATTCTTATACACCAATAACAGACAAACAGAGAGCCAAATCATGAGTGAACTCCCATTCACAATTGCTTCAAAGAGAATAAAATACCTAGGAATCTAACTTACAAGGGACGTGAAGGACCTCTTCAAGGAGAACTACAAACCACTGCTCAATGAAATAAAAGAGGATACAAAGAAATGGAAGAACATTCCATGCTCATGGGTAGGAAGAATCAATATCATGAAAATGGCCATACTGCCCAAGGTAATTTATAGATTCAATGCCATCTCCATCAAGCTACCAATGACTTTCTTCACAGTATTGGAAAAAACTAGTTTAAAGTTCATATGGAACCAAAAAAGAGCCCGCCTTGCCAAGTCAATCCTAAGCCAAAAGAACAAAGCTGGAGGCATCACGCTATCTGACTTCAAACTATACTACAAGGCTACAGTCACCAAAACAGCATGGTACTGGTACCAAAACAGAGATACAGATCTGGAACAGAACAGAGCCCTCAGAAATAATGCCGCATATCTACAACTATCGGATCTTTGACAAACCTGAGAAAAACAAGCAATGGGGAAAGGATTCCCTATTTAATAAATGGTGCTGGGAAAACTGGCTAGCCATATGTAGAAAGCTGAAACTGGATCCCTTCCTTACACCTTATACAAAAATTAATTCAAGATGGATTAAATACTTAAACATTAGACCTACAACCATAAAAACCCTAGAAGAAAACCTAGGCATTACCATTCAGGACATAGGCATGGGCAAGGACTTCATGTCTAAAACACCAAAAGCAATGGCAACAAAAGCCAAAATTGACAAATGGGATCTAATTAAACTAAAGAGCTTCTGCACAGCAAAAGAAACTACCATGAGAGTGAACAGGCAACCTACAGAATGGGAGAAAATTTTTGCAACCTACTCATCTGACAAAGGGCTAATATCCAGAATCTACAATGAACTCAAACAAATTTACAAGAAAAAACAAACAACCCCATCAAAAAGTGGGCGAAGGATATGAACAGACACTTCTCAAAAGAAGACATTTATGCAGCCAAAAAACACATGAAAAAATGCTCACCATCACTGGCCATCAGAGAAATGCAAATCAAAACCACAATGAGATACTACCTCACACCAGTTAGAATGGCAATCATTAAAAAGTCAGGAAACAACAGGTGCTGGAGAGGATGTGGAGAAATAGGAACACTTTTACACTGTTGGTGGGACTGTAAACTAGTTCAACCATTGTGGAAGTCAGTGTGGAGATTCCTCAGGGATCTAGAACTAGAATTACCATTTGACCCAGCCATCCCATTACTGGGTATATACCCAAAGGACTATAAATCATGCTGCTATAAAGACACATGCAGACGTATGTTTATTGCAGCACTATTCACAATAGCAAAGACTTGGAACCAACCCAAATGTCCAACAATGATAGACTGGATTAAGAAAATGTGGCACATATACACCATGGAATACTATGCAGCCATAAAAAATGATGAGTTCATGTCCTTTGTAGGGACATGGATGAAATTGGAAATCATCATTCTCAGTAAACTATCGCAAGGGCAAAAAACCAAACACCGCATGTTCTCACTCATAGGTGGGAATTGAACAATGAGAACACATGGACAGAGGAAGGGGAACATCACACTCTGGGGACTGTTGTGGGGTGGGGGGAGTGGGGAGGGATAGCATTAGGAGATATACCTAATGCTAAATGTTGAGTTAATGGGTGTAGCACACCAGCATGTCACATGTATACATATGTAGCTAACCTGCACATTGTGCACATGTACCCTAAAACTTAAAGTATAATAATAATAAAAAACAAAAACAAACAAACAAACAAACAAAAAGAGATTAGTGTGCCTAGAGAAAGCTTAGGGTCTTCTTATTTCTTTTCTTAGCATGCATCTTGCCCTATGCCTAATGTAGCTTTCTAAATTCCTCAGTATAAATAGGTACTTTTGAGTGTACCACTTTCCCAAAGAATGTTCCAAGCTATTCCTCACAGGTCTTAGGCAGTCTATTGTATGTCTCAACTGTGTCTTTTGTCCCAAGTGTCTTTGAGTTGTTAGTTTGCTTTGCAATGTTGTGAGTAATGCCTGTCACTTTTTGGTCTAAGTTCCAAGTTAGGGGGAACATAGAAGAGTGTCTTGTATCAATCCTTCAGGTATCCCTCAGACAGCCTATAACAGATAGTCACAATAATTTGTGAATAATATCTGCTCTGCTCCCTCTAGAACTAGAGATGAAGGTCTTATATTGGGAACATGGGATGGCACTTCAAGATGGTACCACTTCAACATAACATCATGCTGGGGGAGGGATGGGGCATGGGCAAGTAAAAATGCCACAATACCTTCCTAAAGTTGCCTTTTTCTTGACTAAGTGTTCTCTTGGTTGCTGTAAACCTTTGACTGTTTTCCAGAGTTTTGACAAAGTTGGCTCTGGCAGTTTCTGCTTTTTTTATTTGTTCATTTTTTGAATGTTTCTGTAGGAAGATTAGAACTTGGAGCTGTCTACTCTGCCGTTCTCCTCCACCATCATTTTTGAAAGATTTTTTTTCATGGTATAAAAATCTAGGTTGATAGTTTTTCTCTCTTTCAATACTAAAGATGTTTCTCCATTGTCTTCTATTTGTATTGTTTCTGATAAGAAATTTACTGTCATCCTTATCCTTGTTCCTCTGAACATAATATATTTCTCTGGCTGCCTTTAAGATTTTCTCTTTATCTTGATTTTGAGCATTTTGATTATAATGTGTCTTGATGTATTTTTCTTCATGTTTCTTGTGCTTATGATTTCTTAAAATTTTTGCATCTGTGCATTTATGGTTTTTGTCAAATTTGAAATTTTTCATGAATTATTTCTATAAATATTTTTTCTGTTTCCTCCCACTCTCCTCCCCTCTGGGACTCCAGTTACACATATGTTAGACCACTTGAAGTTGTCCCATTGCTCACCAGTATTACTTTCTTTCTTCTTTTCTCTTTTTTGATTATTTTTCTGTCTGTATTTAACTTTGGATAGTTTCTTTTTCCATGTATTTAAATTTGCTAATTTTTTCCTGCTGTATCAAATTTGACATTAATCCAATTCAGTTTATTTTTTAAATCTCACATATTGTACTTTTCATCTCTAGAAGCTTGATTTGCATCTTATTTTAAATCTTCCATGTCTCTACTTAACGTTTGAACATACGGCATGTAGTTATAATGACTGTTTTAATATCTTTGTCTTCTAATTCCAACATCTGTTTCAGTTGTGGTTTGATTTTGATCGATTGATTTTTTTCTTCACATGGGTAAATTTTTTTCCTGCTTCTCTACATACCTAATCAGTTTTGATTGGATTCCAGACATTGTGATGGATATTTTTGCATTCGTAGAAATATCCTTGGGCTTTATTCTGGAATGCAGTTATGTGGAAATAGTCTGATCCTTTTGGGTCTTGTTTTTACTATTGGCTAGGCAGGACAGAGCTACTACTACTGAGGCAGGACCTTTCTACATACTCTACCCAATGTCCTGTGAATCATGAGGGTTTGAAAACAGTCACTGTTCTTGAGAGTACCAGATACTATTCCTTCAAATCTTTTGGATGATTCTTCTCCTGGCTTTGGGGCGTTTGCTCACACTCTGCTGAACACTTGAGTGGGAGTTTCTGAAAGCTCGCCAGGTGTCTTTCTCTGTGCCCATCACTCTTCTCTGGTACTCTGTCCTGTGAACTCTGGCAGCCTTTGTCTCTAGACTCTGAGCTCCAAATCTGCAACTCAGGACATCTGCTAGACTCTGCCTCCTGTGTCACCTTGGGAAGAAAGACAGCTGAAGAAATTGTAGGGCTTGCCTTGTTTGATCTTAGCCTCTGGAATCACTGTCCTTCATTGCCTTCTCTCCAATGTCTTGAAAAACCATTGCTCCATATATTTTGCTCATTTTTTTATTTGGTTATTCCATGAATAAATTCTGATTGGCAAACTAGATTCCTCTTACTTTAGCTGGGTTAGAAGCAGAAGTACAAATTGTTTTTATTATTATTATTATTTTTTGAGACGGAGTCTCGCTCTATTGCCCAGGCTGGAGTGCAGTGGCACAATCTCGGCTCACTGCAACCTCTGCCTCCTGGGTTCAAGTAGTTCTCCTACGTCAGCCTCCTGAGTAGCTGGGATTACAGGCACGCACCACCACACCTGGCTAATTTTTGTGTTTTTGCTAGAGACAGGGCTGCACCATGTTGGCCAGGGTGGTTTCGAACTGCTGACCTCAAGTGATCCACCCGCCTTGGTCTCCCAAAATGCTGGGATTACAGGCATGAGCCACTGCGCCTGGACCAATTATTATTATTTTTTAAATAGTTGTATCTGAGCTCATTTAATGATGGAGGGAATGGAGAGAATGAAGGGTGGGGGTGGTAGAGAGGAGGCAATTGTTGGAGTGAGGTGGATAGTGATTTAATGATTTAATCTGCTACTGATCACTGTTCTGTGCCAGGCTGCAGTGGGTACTGAATGGAACAATGCATAGCCCCTGCCCTCAAGGAGGCCACAGTCTGAAGGGGTGAGGGAAAGAGTTTATCATTGTTTTAATCAGAAGATTCGGCTGCTCAGACAAAGCAGATGTTCCATGTTTCCAAACTATTAAGAATTAGATTCATTTAAAATGTTTTCATTGAATGCAATTATAAACGCTGTTCCAGGAAGACCTACAAATAAGGATAGATTTGTTTAGTATTAAGGGAAGGGGATGTTTAATTCTGTGAGGGAGGCTGTAGAGAGGAGCTTGGGTCAGAAGACTCATGTGTGAGCCCTGTAGACCCCTTCCCTACAGGGGGTCTTAGTGCCCGTAGTACAGTGAAATGGGACCTTGTATTACAGGCATCTTTCAGGGTTTCCATGGAGTACACCTAGGCGATGGTCAATAAATGTGGGTCCCATATCTTAGAGGGCTTAGAGGGACAGCAAAAAGCAAAAAAGCAAACAGGATGTGCCCCTACCTCCAAGAAGTTGCTGCCAATCTGCCTCAGAAGTCCAGCTTGGGAATTGAGACTAAAGGGGAGTGAAAGCAGCCCTAGATGGGGCCTGAGGAAAGGGCCAGCTGTGACCAGGGAGGATGAGAGGAAGGACTGAGAACCAGGAGAGGCAAGAGGCCGAGGCCAAGAGAACTCCTAATTAGCCAGGGGTCAATGTCAGCCAGTGTGCAGAGGCCGAGGCCAAGAGAACTCCTAATTAGCAGGGGTCAATGTCAGCCAGTGTGCAGAGCCAGAAATGGTGTCTCTCAGAATGTGTGTGGGTGAAGGGGCAAGGGAGCTGGGTGCATAACTTGGAGTATTGGCCTCAGTGAGGCCACACAGCAGGAGCTGGGGCCTCTGTGTGCCCTGTGTGAGTGAGTGTCATCTTAGATACAGCCTATCCTCAGTTACCTGGCCGTGCTGGAGCCTGCCCAGTCCAGGGCTTGGGACTCAGGCCATTTCATTCTGCCCCCACCCCTCCAGGCATCTTGGAGCTAATCAAAGGTTAGCCACCCTGAGCAATGGAAAATTCTCAATGTTCTAGACACTTTTTATGTGATGTCTGTGCTCCTGTTATTTTAAGAATGCACTGGGAGGTAGGTTTTGTTGCACCTACTTTAGGATAAGGAAACCAAGGTTCACAGAGGTGAAGGGGTTTGTCCAAGGTCACAGACGTGACTTAGCTTGGATTTGAACCCAAGTCTGCTTTCCAAACCCCAATCTTTCTTTTCATTTTTTTTTGAGACAGAGTCTCACTCTGTCACCCGGGCTGGAGTGCAGTGGCGTGATCTCAGCTCACTGCAACCTCCGCCTCACAGGTCAAGCAAGCCTCCTGCCTCAGCCTCCCAAGTAGCTGGGACTACAGGCATGTGCCACCACACCCAGCTCATTTTTGTATTTTTAGTAGAGATGGGGTTTCACCATGTTGACCAGGCTAGTCTCAAACTCCTGACCTTAAGTGATCAGCCCGCCTTGGCATCCCAGAGTGCTGGGATTATAGGTGTGAGCCACTGCGCCCGGCTCCAAACCCCAATCTTTCTAACATGCTTCACGTGCCTCTTACTTTTTCAGATTTCATCATGTGGTTATCATAGGGACATATCTGGCACTAAGCCTATGTAGAAAGCCAGCAAATGGTGTTGGTGGCCTCCTATTCGAGTCCCTGACCCTTGTGCTGGCCTGGATGCTGCAGGAAGCATGGTTCTCTCACGCCTTGCATGGGTTCAAATGGGCTAGCCCCCGTGGTAACAAACAACCCCCACACTTCAGTGACTGATTCCTTGCTCAGGCTGCATGTCCATCACGGACGGTCCTGGGCTATGCTCCCTGCCATCCTCTTCCTCCAGGAAACAGGCTGACAAGCAGCCAGTATCCAAATGCTGTTGGTGATACCGGTAGAGAGGAACCGGGAAGCTGGAACCAGCTTGGAAACATCTGCCGGGAAGAAATGCTTATCACACGGCTTCCATTTTATTGGCCAGAGCAGGTCCCTGGCAGGCCTAGCTCTGAGGAGTTGGGGAGCATACCGGGTAGCAGTTAACTATGGATACCCTGAAAGCTCCCATCAGTGGTGACTTTCAGATGCCCCGTGTGTGTCTTTCTGTGCTGAAACTGGGGCTGCTTGGTGGAGAGGGGCCCCTCCAGAAGCTTACTGTCTAGGGAAGGGACAGTTATAACCCAGGAAAGGTTTGCCTCCGGGTAAGATGACTGTGCATGACACAGGCGAGCACCGGGCTGTGGGTGCGCAGAGCAGTGACACATTCTTCACAGGGAGAACTGCAGAGGCAACAGTGTCTGAACCCCCAGTTTGAAGCTAAGAAATCCCTAGTGAGGTGCAAGAATGGAAGGGCCTCTGCAGTTTGAGGGACAAAGTGTGAAAAGGTTCAGGGATGAGAGAGCACAGTGCTGGGTGCAGGCTAGTGGCCTGTGTCTCTGGAGCTCTGGGGACCTATGGAAGTGTGTGGGCAGAGGAGGAGGCTGGAGAGCTGGGCAGGGCCAGGAGTAAGGCTTTCTTCATTGTGGGTGGGATGTCATGTCCCTTTTGTTGTCTTTCAGCTGAGCCATGGCCGTGGAGTTCTGGCTAGTGGGTGTGGTGGGCACTCGGAACTGCCTGCCCAGAAACTCCAGCAAGGGCCCCGTCCCTGCATGCATCTATCCAGCCTGGGTGGCTCTAGGCTGCATTCACAGGTCTAGACCCTGCTGTTCACCCTGGGGGGATGAATCAGCTTCATTCTTCCTGAACAAAAGCTCCTGGGTTGCCAGGGAGATGTAGGGGCTGCCGCCTGTACTTCCTGGAGCTGCAGTTTGGTGTCAGGAAGAGATGGGCACTCAGCAGCCCCAGGGCGGGGCTGGGTTGAGCTGCCATCACCGCTGTTGTCCTTGTTGAATGGGACCGTATGTGGATCAGAGACAGCAGAGCCTCTGAGTTTGCACAGATTTGGGTTTGAATGTGGCTCTGCCCATTGATGGCTACATGACTTTCAGCTGCAAGCTGCCCTTTTGAAGCCTGTTTCCTCAAATTGAAGTTGGGATGATAATATCCAGCTTGCAGGGGCTGAGATATTTCATGAGGTAACAGTTGGAAGGCATTCCATCTATTCATTTATTTAATACATGTTTGTGGCTGTCTGCTGTGTGCCAAGCACTTTCCCGGGGTGGGAATCCATGCCGTGACGTGATGCTGACGTGGCCCTGTGCTGAGTGGTCAGCCTGGCTGGCACCATGCTAGGCACACAGAGAGCCTCACTAAATGGTATTTACTCTTGTTCTTGGGGACAGAGGCTCTGTGGGGATAGGGGAAGAGTCCTCCTTGGCTTGGTGTTTGCCTGGTCTTGGGCATTTTGGGGAAGTGGAGGGGTAGGGGGAGTCCCACTACCCAATCCTATAGCCCGGCAGGAAGTAGTAGGCCTCATGAGAAAACTCTGGGGACTTAAGCTCCATGCTGCCTGTGAATCCCAGGGTTCAGGGGACCAAGAGGGTTTCCTAAGCCTGTGAAAGCTGCTGCAATTGGTGTAGAGGCCACCATGGAGCCACAGTCCAGGGGCCCAGTGGGCCTTTTCTTATCTCTCTTGCCAGGCCACAGAGTAGGTTCTGGAGAATTGGGCCTGGCGGCTCTGAGCTGGGCTGACACTCATCACTGACCTGGGATCATGGGAGTTGGGCAGGAGGGCCCTCCCCTGGGAAAGAATCCTCTCATCTGACTGTGGTGTGTAAAAGATCAGGAAGCCTCGAACCAGATTAGGGCAGGGCTGGGGACAGGTGCAGAGCCTGGGGGCTCCTCAGCTGTGTAGAAGTGCTGGGAAGGCATGGTGTATTTGGGGGTCAGATGTGGTAGTTTTGGGGTTATTGATGGAATTTGGGGGTAGGCAGGGATGCCGTGTGTGAATGCTCTGGGAGGAGGTTTGCAGGAATTAGAGGGATTTGCTGGAGGAGCTTTCTGATGGCGTCACTGGTGCTGTGCATTGGGGGTTGGTGGCAGGTCCTGGAGTCATAGCTGGGGTCATAGGTGTGTTAGGGAGGCAGTGATGATGGGTTATCAGGAGGGGGAGGATCACTGATGAGGTGGGAGGTGGGAGCAGCGAGGATGGAATGGTGCTGTTGGCCAGGGGGTCCTCAGTGACTACCCCAGCAGGGTGGCTTCAACTGTGAGCTCTGGTGTGTCTGTTTCTTGTCTCAGCGCTCCACGGGGAAGTTTAGACCTGAGCCTCTGAGAGGGGTCACTGGGCAGAGAGACCCCTGGATCTCAGAGGGCTGAAGGGGGAGGTGAATGGTGGGCATGGGTGGCAAGGGGCTGAGCCAGGGCAGTGGATGAGTCAGGAGTATGGGAGGCTGGGCTGCTGATCAGCGACTTTGCAGATCCTCAGGGTCATTACTTGCTGTTGTTGCTGGGGAAAGTTGCAAAATGAAAATTAACTGTCAGAGAAGATTGATTCGTTTGATGCCTAACCAGGAGCAGCCTTTTATTGCTGTAAAATGTTGATTTCCTCTTGCCTGCAATGACAGGTGAGTGTTAGTGGCACTGAAGGAAGACAGATCCCTGAACAGAACTTGCAGAAACCATCCCCTGAGGGGCTCAGCCCTCTTCCCTCCAACCTCTATGGCTGCAAGAGCAAGAATGAGTGTCTGATTTTACTCATGGGGTGAGAACACATCTGTGGGTGTGCCAGCCACGTGGCAGGGCTGGTGGTAAGACCTGGGGCTCTGGATTCAGACACATCTGGATTCAAATCCACGCTGGGCCACTTAATAGCTCTATGCCTGTGGGCAAGCCTCAGTGTCCTCATCTGTAAAATAGAAGGGTCATACCTAATTAAGTCCTAGATTTTAAAGCACTTGGCACAGTGCCTGGCACAGGTTATCAGGGCTGGGTCCAGTTGAAATGATCAAATGCTGCTGAAATTCAGAACTCGGATCACTTTTGCAATAGCAGCCATCGGTCGGGGGCAAGGATGGGACAAAGGCAGGACAAGAGTCAAGAGAGGGAGCCGTCAGAGAAGTGGAGTGGGAGGTGAACGAGGATAATTTGTTATAATGGAACCATGCCTGAGGTGGGGGTATGGGAGCTCATGCCTATGGGGGGCCGGGCAGGGTGGGCCACTCAGTCTGCAGGCCTGGGCCAGGCTAGCTGCTCAGAAAGGATGAGTAGCCCAGGTCTGTCCCTGCCCAGTGTGTGGCCAGGGGAGCCTCTCCGTGCCCATGCCACTTGTCTTGCTTAAGTGTGGCTAGGAAGGAAAAGGCTGGGCAAGTGCAGCTCCTGCTTGGCTGATCCAGGCCTTGATGGCAGATAGCTATGTTCAGAGAGTTTCCTGGGGGCCGGGGAGTAGCCCTTCTCCTCTAGGAGCCTCTTGTCAGCAAGGAGTGAATTTGGCTGCAGGTTGGAGGGCTTCCTCGTCTGCAGGGCCAACCAGGAAGGGGCGGCGGTGACACAGACGAGCGTGTGGGAGGTCTCTGTGTTGGGCGTCTGTCTGCCCGCATGCCTGCCTCTCTGTTGCTCTGAAGGAGGCAGGGGCTGGGCCTGCAGCTGCCTGGGCAGAGCGGCTCCTGCATGGGACATGGCTCTTCTCTCTGGTTACAGACTCACCACTTCGCTCCCAACCTACCTCCACAGTCAGCGTGGGGCATCAGGCCAGGCCCTCCTGAGCCAGAGAAGATTGTGGAAACCTTGCTCTCCAGGTGGAGTGGCCAGCCTCTGGGAGGTGTTCAGGAATGGGCTCCTAGAGAGTGTGGTGAGCTCAGGCTGGATCTGAGCTGGGCAAAACTGCTTCCAAGGGGGGCCCACATCCAAGGGACTGAGTGGTGGTGGGATTCCTCCCTCTGGGGTAGTCTCCAGCCTATGGGGCAGGGGTACAGGGTACAAGGGGCAGACAGATGTAGGGAGGACAGGCAGGAAGTTCCAGCAAGTTTCCGGGCCAAGGAAATGTTGTAGAGAACCAGAGGATGATAGGAAAGAACAAATGAAGGACAAATGAAAAGGCCTGGCCAGGCTCCAGAGTGGGGCGTGTTGAAGTCTGAGGGTCATGGGTCTCACCTGTTGGTGGGGCTGGGCTCTTAGCTCCAGCGTGGGGTGGTACTGCAGCTGCTGGGATGGGAGAGGAGGGTGCCCAGCAGTACCTTCTGTGGGTCAGCGTGACTGGCAATGAAAATGAGGTGAATGAACATCCCAGGAGCTCATGCTGCCAATAAAACACCTGACCCGGCAGGTGGGCAGCCTGGATTCGGCTCCCAGCTCTGCTGTGAACTTGCAGAGGCTCCTGGACAAGTCCCTTCCCCTCTCTGGCTTTCTGTTTGCTCCTCTGCAAAATGTGAGCCAAATATTTTCAAGCAGTGGCACTCTTTGTTCAAATGAAATATTCCATGAAACCCACTTTTCTTAACTTAGTGAAGTGGGTTGAGGTGGGGAAACCCAGTGGTCTAGCCCATCTCCAAAGCCTACTTCCAAACATAAACAATTGTCCTAGATTTTAAAAATTAATATTTTAAAACCAACTCTTATTGAGCACTTGATATGTACCAGGCACTGTTCTAAGCACTTTATAAATAGTGACTCAATTCTCACAACCCGAGGGGGAGGGAGGTGGGGAAACAGGCATCAGAGGTGAGGTGACATCTCAAGGTCCCACAACTAGTGAGTGGCACAGCAGGATTCCAGCCCAGGCAGTGGGGTCTAGGACGGGGTTTGGCCTCTGTTCTCGCTGCCTGTAGGTGCTGGCGAAGGGGGCGGCTTGTTCTGCAGGTGAAAGGCCACGGCGCCCACGTGACTTGGTGCTGCACGCTGGAACCCCGAAGTCAGTGTCTGGGGAACCGTCCCGTTGGGCCTGGATTCTGACGAGCTGGGAGAGGCGGGATCCTCCCCGCTGCCGTCTCATTTCCCAGCTGGCCCACCGCGGCCCCGCCACTCCAAGGCCGGTTTACAATGGCAACGTTGCGCGCCGTGGCGCGAAGGGAATTGAATGCGGGAGCTTCTCCGCCAGGCACACACTCTAACCACCAAATTTATTTAAGCAGATAAAATGCAGGGGGTGTAATGTCAGATTAATGGATAAATAACCGTTCTGGTTTTTGGCACGATGACGGGGAGCAGTAGTGAGAAGCCTCATTATGTGCGGCTCTGCCTCGAAGAACAAGCCTCGTGCTGCAACCCCAGCACCCGGGCCCGCGAACAGAGCATTAAATTGTTGGAAATGGCTCCCCTTCACTCGCAGAACAAAGATGTTTTCTCCAGAATAAATTGACTCCCTCCCAGCGCGCTGAGCCCTGGTTTCCCACAAACGCAGCCTATGCTCTCGGGGGAGGGAGGGCGGGCGATGCCGGCCTGGGAACGCCGCGCAGGGAGCTTCCTGCGGGGGCGGGCTCAGGGCTTCTGGCTCCTGGGCTCTCTGTCGCCAAGCCTCCATGGTAAAGGAGCAAACCTTTAGTTGTGTGGACAACGCAGAAGTCTGGCAGAATCGGGGTTGGAATTAGGGTGCGCTGAGAGGCAGTGTTCCTTGGTTAGGGCTTTGCGTTTTGTGTCCCTAGGTTTGCGTGTCGTTGGCCAGCTGGGCGATCTTCAGGCAAGTTATTTAACCTCTCTGAGCTCAGTTTGTTAACAGTGAAGTGGGGAAGGGGCCCTTCCTAACAGGGCTGTGGTCCAGAGCACGTAATAAGAGAACGCTTGGGGGTGGAGCCACGTTCCCTTCCTCCAGAAGGCGCCCTCCACTCTTGGCCCTCTGCCAGCATCCATGCCCAAGATGGTGTGGTGGGGTGTGGGGACCCAGGAGGCTGCTGTCCGGCTGGGCCTAGACCCTGTGGCATGGACCAGGGGGCCGAACTGAAGGACGCAAGCTCTTCGAGGTGGGTGGGGGAATAAAGCCTCCCTTCCTGGGTGCCCAAGGTCTGGCCAGTGCCTAGTAAGCCCCTGGCTGGGTGGGATCAGAATCTCAGTGGAGAGCTTGGCTTTGCTCTGGGCCAAACTTAAAGACAGCCATTGCCTCCAGGAGCCATTGTGCTTGGTTTCTGCCTGGCTTCCTGGGCTCAGTAGGAGCAGAGCTCCGAGAGGCTGCTGAGGGGCAGACTAACTGCTTTCAGATCAGCGCCTTTCTTCCCCTGCTTCCTCCTCCTTCTAGAAGGTGACTTGCACAGTGTAAAGAGCGCAGGCTTTGGGGCCAGATTCACCACTGCCACCTCCTGGCTGTGTTACGCTGGACACACTGCTTCACCTATCCGAGCCTCAGTTTTCACCTGCCGATGCCAGAATAATGCTTTCACTTTGTGAGACTGGCATGAAGAGTGAAGCTCCTGGGCTGATGTCTGGCACACAGCTCTTTGGGCCCCAATGTCCTGTAACAAATGCTTATGGAGCACATACTTGTGCCAGGCTCTGAGATACAATGGTAAGCAATGAAGCCTTGTGTGACCTCCAGGGGTTGACTGGGGAGCAGGATGACCTGGATGCTGGTGGCTGCCCGGATGTGTATGTGTGTGTGTGCCACCTCAATGCCCCTGCTCAGGTGAGAGTGGGTGACCTGGGGTTTTGCTGCATCCAGCAGGATCTGGCCTTTGGGATGGTGGGTTGCCTCTGTCTTGCGCTGCCTTTTCCTTGTCCTTTTGGCCTTGCTCCTTCTTACCTGATCCACTCGAGTTTCTCACTGACCTAACCAAGAGGTTGGAAGAGGAAAACGCCCCTGGCTTGGGGCAGGAATATGGGTCCTAGCGGTTAGTGGAGCACCTCCTTCCCAGTACATTGGGTGCTCTCCAGGTGAGCAAAGCAGATGAGGTCTCTGTCCTTGTGGTGCTTGCAGTCTTCTGAGTAATGACAGCTACTGAGCATTTGCCCAGTGCCAGGCTCTGTGCTAAGTGCTTTTCACATCCGATCCTCACTATGCAATGGATAGTCTGTGGCCAGCTTTGAATCTCACCCCTTTGCCATGCCGGCAGGTCCTGGGGGCCCTTTTTCTCCCCCAGGGGTCCTGCAGGCCCTGCTAGCATAGAGCTCTGGGCTCAGATAGGGGTAGCTTCAAATTTGGTTCTGTCCTGTTATTTTGCAAGTCACATAACTTGTGTAAGCCTCAGTTTCCTCATCCATAAAATCGAGATAATCATAGTACCACCTCCCAGGGTTGTGGGGAGGAAGCACCAAGCATAGAACCTGGGTTGCTACAGGGGCCCCAGCCCTCATGGCTGGGTGTTTTGCTCCCTGTGGAGTGGGCACAGAGGCTTCTCCGGGCTTTGCAGCCCACACCCAGCTTTTTCTTCGGTTTGAGGAACGTGTGTTTAGGAGGCTAGGAGAAGGCTCTCCAGGCAGCACTCCTTCTCCCACCTGCTGGGTCTTTGTTTAGCTCCAAATTAAAGCTAAAGCAGAAAATACAAAACATTTCCTCCATCACAGGTGAAGGAACCGGCTGTCTTATCAGCTCTGGAGCCGAGTGGCTTGGCATGTGTGTGCTGGTAATTGTGGAGTCTGAATGAAGGGGTGTCTCTGGGGACCATGCTTTCCATCACTGTCCGTGTCTGTTATCATGGTTATCTCATTCCCAATCAGGCTCAGGGGACGTGGGGCTGGGCGAGGATTTTCCATTTTCTGGAGGCTCACATCCCACCTCTGCCTTCTTACTCATTCCGATGGCCCAGCTCTTAACAGCCCTCCCTGGCCTCTGCCTTGAGCCTTCTAGGATGTCATCTGCTACTGGTGTCCATTCCAGTTGTGTCTGTCTGCATCCCTATGAGGACCGGGAGCTCCTGAAGGTCCCATTAGAGTCCAGGGATTATTGATGAAGCTCCAACCAGGAAGACAGAGTGGGACACATGGTTGGGGTGGTGGGAGCATAGAAGTTCTTAGAGGCAGATCTGGCTTGTAAATCTAGCTTTGTCACTTGCTGTGTGACCTAGGGAAAGTTACCTAACTTCTCTGAGCCTGGCTTTCCTCATTTCTAAAATGAAGGTGTTACTGGTACGTGCTGTTTGTAAAGATTGGTGTAAGTATTATCATGAAGTAATATCCACAGTCTGTAGCTGAGTGCCTGGGATGGAATCAGTGCTTTCCAATGCTGGCCCAAAAGTGGAAGGAAGCCACGTGGTTGGTACTCAGATTTCCCTGTTGAAGGTAGAACAGAGAACAAGGTGCAGGAGAGGAATGCTGGTTGTTGCCCTGACTACTCCACACAGGTGTTCCATGGGGTGAGGGCAGGCTCACTGTTATCTCAGGACCAGCTAGAGACCAGTTCACACTAACCAAGCTCAGAAGAGACTGATTTTTGGCTGAACACAAGCCAGCGTATTAATTCACAAGGAGAAACCACTGCCTGGGCTCTCATGTGCTTCCCCAGTGAGAAATCCTAGTGAGCCAGGTGACTAGGTGCTTCCCACTGAATGGAGGAACCTTCAGAGGGACTGCTGGTGGGTCTCAGGGACTTCTTGATCACTATTTGGAGCCTGCTATGGAAGAGGTCAGAGTGTGGCCTCTATCTGGCCTCTTCCTCTCAGTTCACTTTCCTTACTGGACTCTCTTCCCTTTGCCTTCTGCTGTCTTTCCTTCCCTGCCCCTGCCATTTGTGCAGACTTGCACACGCATGTGCGTGCACACACACACACACACACAGACATGTGTTATTAGGAATGCAACTGGACTCTGCACTTGATTGAATTTGAAATAATTGACTTCATTTCTGATTTGAAACTTACAGATTCCCCACTCCCCTATGTTGGCAGTACCCAAGTTTTTCCTTGACAATTTGTATTTTTAAATTAATATACAACCTCGTATGTAATGATATAGATGTATTTACATAATTTAATGATATTCTTTAATAATTCAGAGACATTCAACTTTCTGTACGCATTGTTTACACGCACACAAGGGAGGAAAGTCATTAGTTGTCATCAGTGAACATGGATAGGTACAGATTAAGGAGAGAGGAGAGAGAGAGAGAGGTAGAGAGAGAGGTAAAGACTGCAGAGGTCTGGAAACAGAATCTTGTCTTTACATTTTTGGGTTAAACTGTTAGGGCTGACAGCTTGCAAAGAGGCTAGGCTAGGCCACTTGCCCTAGGGCAGGGGGCTGGGTCGTCAAAGGAAACAGCTTCATGTTCTTATAGCTCCTCCTGCAGCTTTAAGGGCACAGCTGGGCAGCACATGTTGGCCTGTGTCCAGCCATCAGCGCCCACCTTTTTGAGGCCACAGCTGCTCTGTTTTCCTCATCAGAGGTTCTCTCTTTTTCTTTGAAATTTAAGCATTGTTCAGTTATGAAACTTAGCATTAATTTCTGTGCATAAACTAAGACTGGTTTTGTCCTTTTGATTTCTAATCTCAGTTCTTCGTTCAGTTCCAGGAATTTTTCTATTGAGGTGATGATCAGCTATGATCAGTTTCTTATGTCTTCTTTGGAAATCGTGTCCCTGTAATTGGGTTCTCCCTGCATTTTCTCTTGTATGTGTCATCTTTCACATTACAAAAAGCCTCCACTTACTTAGTCTGTTGTCTGGATATGTGGAGTAGATTGTTTCATTGTTCAAAATATCCACTGCTTCTCTCTGTGGGAGGATTTACAAGCTGCCCTTATGATGTCATCCTTGGCCATGTGACTTGCCAGGGCCAATGAAGTGAGGGTGAAAGTGACAGAGGCCTCTTTTGAACAAGCTCTAAGAGCTGCCACATGGTTTGTTTTTCCCTCTGCCATGAGAGATGGGGGCTTCTCCCTCAAGCCTGGGTCTTGGAATAAAGATGCTGTGGGACAGAGCTGCAGCCAACCTACCATAAACAACCTACAAAAAAAGTGTGAGAGGAAAATCACTTTTTGCTGATTTAAGCCACTGAGATTTTGGGGTTGCTTGTTACAGTAGCATATCTTAGCTTAAACTGACAAATACATTTCTCAAATATATTCTTTGTTTCACTGGTATGGTTTCTTGGCAATACCAATTTTGTTTTTTACAGCTTCCAACAGTGATTCTATTAGAATCATACAGATATTAATTTTGTTTTGAATTATATCATTCAGCTGATGTATTTTTTTATCTTTGAAAATAATTGGTAGTATTTTTCTAAAATCTTATGCTCTATATGTGAGTCTGTTTTAGGGTTGGCTATTCTCATGAAATTTTGAAACTGGACTGTAGGGATTTTTATTTCCTTTACCTATTTACTGCACTTTGAGTTTTCTCTGTTGTTTCTTCCTGTTTTGCTGAGGGGTTTAGAAGCCTCACTGGGGTAGAAAACTAAGTTGTGGGGCTGGAGGCGGGACACCAACCAGCACCATGGTTGGTGGCAGGAAGCCTGCAGTTAGAGACTGGGCATGTGTTTTGCTCATTGCTGTTGGTGCTGCTGAGGAAGTCTTTGTTTCAGTGGATTACAGACTGTTTTAATTGGATTAAAGGGGGAACCTCCTTGGCATTGCTCCCCTGTTCTTTATCTTCCTGGAGATAATCCTTTTAGGTGTCTGGAGTTGGCGCTCATGTCATCTTCACACTTAGTCTGCCTTCTCCCAGGCCCTCTCTGTGTTTCTCAGCCATGCCCCATGATGAGTTCTGTGTCCCATACACCTGCCTGGCTATTCCCTTCTAATTCTTCCCCATAGTATCACTGTCCCTACTGAATGTAGAGCCCAGAATGGATCTCAGCGCTCAGCTGCCATCTGGACTGTTTGGAGGGGATCTCTCCCTCCTTATCTAGGGTATGATATCATGAATTCACACAGTGGTGGCCACATCAGTCTGTTGGCTTATATTAAGCTTAAAGGTAGTTGCATCCAGATCTTCTCCCACAAGCTCCTAGTTGAGTCTTTTCCACCTGTTCTTATGTCTGTGACTCTCAATCCATCTCTGTTGAGCTCCGTTTTGCTCATTATGGCCCATTGGTCCAGATGGCCAGATCTTTTTGTATCCCACACACTGTATTAAGTCTCTCTCAAGTGGAATCAGTAGCAATCAATATCCTCTGCAGTCATTGATAAAACTGTTGAGCAGACAGGTCTGAGGATAGAGCCCTAAGGCCTATCACTAGAGACTCTGCCAGTTGTTATCTCTGAATGCACCTAATTGCACTAGCACCCAGCCCACCTCAGAGAGGACTGTGTGAATACCTCATTGAAATCCAACTCTGCGTCAAAGCCTAAGGTTGTTGACTCTTGAGGTGCTTTAGTCAGTGTTTGGGAAGAAACAGATCACGTATTCCAAAGGGGCACTGAACAGATTTGAATACAGAGGAACCCAGCAGGGACAGGGAAGCACTCAGAGGGTATCAGTGCTAGGGAGATGCACTATCCCTGGGCCTGAAGGGACAGGGGCTGTGTTGCTGAGCCTGAGAGAAGGATGCAGCAGGCAGAGAGGGGCTGCCAGTGGGAACTGTGTCCTTCACTGGGGAACACAGCTACTGTAAACCCAGGCCCAGCTCAGCCCTCTGATCTGCTGATGCTTCCCGGTGGCTGAAGCCAGGTAGAAGCCAAGGGGCAAGGGAGCCCAGGAGCTGAGTCCATAGAGGCCAGCTTTGAAGGGCACACAACAGAGTGGACGGGAGACACCAGCAGAATAGGCAGCTCACCAGGTCAGGCTGTGATCTCATGTGCTTCTCTAATCCTCCATGTTGTGCTGCACTAGGTTACTTGTTAATGTCCCAAAGAGTCTTGTGAATTATATATACATATATGAAGAGAGAGAGAGAGAGACAAAGAGAGATCCCTTGGGATGGAGAGAGAGAGAGAGCTTCTCTGTCAATCGTCACTTTTGGACCCTCTTGCCAACAGGGTGAGTTTAATTGCAGTCATGGGGACATGACGACATTTAATTAATTAATTATTTAGAGACAGGGTCTCACTCTGTCACCCAGGGTGGAGTGCAGTGGTGCCATCATGGTTCACTGTAGCCTCAGACTCCTGGGCTCAAGTGATCCTCCCACCTCAGCCTCCTGAAATGCTGGGATTACAGGTGTGAACCACAGCACCCTGAGACATTGATATCATCTTAGCAAATTCAGTGCCCATGGGAGCCAACTGGGCTGTTCCTTGTGGGAGCAGAGCCCCTGCCGTGGCCAGAGATGCAGCCTCAGGGTGACAATAGGGGAAAGAAGAGCAGTCAGAGTTCCTAGGAGTTGGAGCTATTGGGTAGGGGCCCATGGAGTCACCCTTCTGTCCAGGGCTGTCCTGAGCAAGACACACAGACAAAATTCACACAGACCCACCTGTGCGTCTGGAAAAGCTGTGCCAACTACTGCTGAGCTGGAAGATTTCTGTTTCATGCCTGTATTTTAAGGAAAGGCAAGGGCTGTGATCCGAATGACCCTGGGATCCTCTCCAGGAGCCCTGGTTACCGGCTGTTGTGCACACCATGGGGGAGGCCGTGTAGTGGTTGGGGGTGCGGCAGCTTCAGAAGACAGGGCAGACTGTGTTGGACATGGGAGGTGAGATGTGGTGTGTGTGGAGCTGGGCAGCCCAGGCGAGGCCCCTGGGGCTCCTGCTCAAGTGGTCTGTCCACCTGCCGACTCAGCCCAGCACAAGTGAGTGCACGCAGCCATCTCTCTAGCTCTGACATCCTAGCTGATAGGACCAAACCAAATCCTTATGGGGACAGTGCTGGGGACACCCTAGGTCCCCAGGGGGCAGTGCACGTCCTCTCTGAGGTGATGACAGGTGTCAGTTTGCCAGTGCCACAAGGCTGGGCACCGGGCAAGAGAGCTTGCGACTGCAGGAGGAAAAGGGTGACCCGAGCCACAGGTGCACAGAGCCTAGCCAGATGTGCACACAGGTGGCAAGGGAGCTCAGCCACTGCATCCCAAGGGTGGTGAGCACAGGGAGGGCCTCCTGAGGGGCTAGTATATGAGTGTCAGGGGACATTGACCTTGGCCTTAGTGCGCTTCTCTAAAAGTGCTACCCAGCCTCCAAGTTGTGCTGCACTCAGTTACTTGTTAATGTCCCAAAGAGTCTTGTGAATTATATAGGCATTGATCCCTTGGGATGGAGAGACAGCTTCTCTGTCCAGCTTCTCTGGACACAGTTTGTTTTAATTATTAATTTTAAAGTACAGATACAATATAGATGCATGACAGAATATTTGAAAATAAAGAAAAGAAAAGCATGTTTGCATCTTGGCTTGCTTCTTTGCACGCCCTTCTTAAATACTTGTGATTCCCCAGGGAGTGGGGGACAAGGGTGTGGGGTGACATCCAGGTGGGTGGGGAGCCCATGGAGCAGGAGACACAGTGGGAAAGGATCAGGGAGAGTGGCTATGACCAAGGGCAGGCCTGGTCTTGGGGGTGTGGAGGCCAGGCTCAGGCTGGAGTTGTTTGCCCTGGGCTTCCTCATGTGGCTTTCTCCAGGGGCTGGTCCTTATCTGTGCTTCCTGAGTCCTGGAGGTTTTCCCCTGCTTTAGTGAGGGTCCCTCAGGCAAGGCCAGCCTGCTTGGGGATCCCTGGCTGGGGCTGTGCAGCCGGCACTGGTTCAGCCAGGTTCGCTTGCAGGAACTCTTGTCTCCTAGGCATTTCTGTGGTCCAGTGGGGAGCTGCTGGGCATCTGACAGGTGATGGGCAGCCCCAGGCTTCAGCGGCTCTGCTTTAGTGGCAGCACAGCTGGAAGCCTACTGGGCCCTGCCTGCCATTGTGGAGAAGCACACAGGGCCAGGGTGTGGCCCCAGCTGCATGAATCATCCAGGAGTGTGTGAACACTGACTCCAGGCTCCCGCACTATGGGGCTGCAACGTGAGTATCAAGGGTTTTGAAAGCTACCCAGGTGATTCTAAGGAGCAGCTACGGTAGTTCTCAAATTTTATGTGCATCCGTCACCTGGATCTTGTCAAAAGACACAATTACAGAGCCCCACCTCAAAAGTTTCTGATTTGCTATGTTTGTCTGAGAATTTGTAAGAAATTGAAATCTAACAAGTTCCCAGGAGATGCTGGTGCTGCTGGTCTGGGGACCCCACTTTGAGAACCTCTGGCCTAGATGAAGATGATGTGGGAAATTCTGGTTACCTCCAGAAGGCAAGGGCAGGCATTAGCTCCCTCAGTTGGTGAGGGCAGGTGTCAGCACTCACAGGTGGTGAGGACAGGTGTTGGTTGTCTCATGGGGTTGTGAGGGAGGAGGCTGACTGTCACAGGTGCTGAGGGAAAGTGTTGGTTGCTATCCTGTGCTAAGGAAAGGTGTTTGCTGTCATGCACATAGGTGGTGTAGGAGGGTGTTGCCTGGTATCAGTAATGAGGAAAGCTGTTGGCTGTAGGTCTGGGTGGCAAGGGAAGGGGGTGGCGGTGACAGGTGACAAATCAAGGTGTTAGTGTTGGTGGGTGGTAAGGAAAGCTGTTGGCTTTCTGTACAGGTGGTGAGGGCAGGTGCTGCCTGTCCCAGATGGAGGGGAAGTAGCTGGCAGTCACATACCTGAGGTGAGGGAAGGTATGGCTTTGTCATAGATGTGAGGGTCGGTGTCAAGTGTCACAGATGGTGAGGGAGTTGTTGCTGTGTCATGGATCGTGAGGGAAGGTGGTTACAGGTGGAGAGGGAAGGGGCTGGCCCTTCTAGCTGGCTAACACGGACATTGGCCTATTTCCCACTGAGGCTGAAGGTGGCTCCAGCTCCCAAGTTCCCTCGTGTGTCTGTCCTGATCCCCTTTCCTGATGCCCTCGGGGCCTGGCCTTCTTGTCCTCCCATGCTGCAGTGTAGTCCAAGAAGGCGGGTGGAGCTTCAGGGCCTGGCTGGGTGGGTGTGTCTCTGGGCCTGGGAGGGAGGAGTGTTCGGATGGGCTGGGGAGCGGCAATGTACAGCTCTGTGCTGAGGAAGTGCTTTGCACAATTTCATGCTGGCCTTCAGTAATGCATCTGCCACAGAACGATGGCCCCAGGAAGCCTCACTCCCTGCACACATTCAGGAGGCACATTTCAATGCAGAAGCCACAGGAAGAGCGTTCTTATCTCTGTCTTTTATCATCAGTTTCCAATGAAGAATCACAGCAGCCTGTGTCCTGGGGCTCCAGCCTGGTGCCTGTGGGGAAAACAGTTCTCCCAAGAGCAGGCCTCCGATGCAGAGATGCAGGATGTGGAACCCGGCTTTTGGAGATGGCCACATGCAGATGAGCTGATCTTAGGGGAAAAGACAGAGCTGTCAGCCTGGCTGTGTCTGATGTCCCTGGTTTCTATAGCTACAGTAAATGTAATTACCAAAAAGTAACCCTTTTCGGATTTCATTGTAACCTCAGAGAGCTAATGACATTTACTGGGTTTCTAGCAATCTGGGACAAAATGCTCATTTTAAATTTAACATGAGTAATGCCATTTTCCATCTTAGTTAAGTACTTTGTGTCATAAAAGAGTTATCTGCCCAGAGCCCCTGGTTCTGTCAGTAAACATATTACAAATATTATCACCACTTATTTTCTGGATGAAAGATGTGGCAAAGGCCCAGAGAAACACTCCTCCTTTACATTTATGACTTTGCTTGGAGACTCAGCAAATTCAGCATGAAATCACTGTGGAGGTAATTCAGGCTGTGCACCAATATCTCACACTCAGCCGGAGGCCCCCAGAGACGGTAATGTTATCTCAGGGAGCACAAACTATGTAAATACATCCTTCCACCACTCGACCACAGTAGGCATCAGATGGTGTCACTTGGCTACCAACAAAGGTGACAGATGCTGAGTGTCTTTGGTGTAGAAAAATGGAAGTCATTGACTGTAGCTTGTTAGGGGGAAGATGAGTTTCTTCTCCATTCCTGGAGACATACAGAATTTGCACACCAAAGTAGAGATGGTGTCAAACCACGTATTTATTTATTCATCTGTTTATTCATGCACTTTGTGGATCCATTCACACAGACCCGTAAGTAATCCTTACAGTGCAGTGTGATGAGTATTCTAATGGAGGGATGTACTAGGCTTGCTGCAGTGGAGGAAGCACAGAGCAGGAGGCACATGAACTGCCTGGGGAGTCCCAGGAGGCCCACAACGAAGGTGATGTTGGACCAGGCCTGGATGGATGTGACTGAGTTGGACAGCCCGAGGCTGAAGGAAGACACTGCAGGCTGGGCGTGATATTAACGCTCTTCTTGGGCCACATCCCGGTCTCTGCTGGAGTGAGGACTGGCATTGCCCTGCCTCCCTTAGAATCCAGTACTGCTTCACAGGTCCAAGGCAGAGAGGAGAGCACCCTAGGGCCGTGGGTCAGCTGGACCTGGGCTCTGTATCTGGCTCTGCTACTTAGTAGTGGAGCAACTCCAGGTAAGGTCAGAGCCTCAGTTTCCTCATGTATGGAACGGGGACACCCGTACCAACCTCTGCAAGTGATAGTGAGGATGACATCTAACCATAGCCCAAGATGCAGGTGCCACTGCTGGTCTTGCTGCAGATGACTCCTTTAGGCAATGAGAGTGCCTATCCCATGGGGGAGGTTTGTGCTCACAGGATATTCCTGTGGGAGGTTTGTGCTCACAGAGCACTCTAAGACAGCCCAGCCCTGAGCTGCTCAGGGTCATCAAAAGTGTTTTTAGATATGAATGTCAGGCCATACAGGTGCTAGGTATCTGTGCTTCCTGACCCCTGGTGAAGGCCTGTTTCAATCTGGCTGATGCCTGGTCCTGGCTCTGACACTTGTCAGCAGTGATTGGCAGATTCTGAAGTGTGACAACTTTGGAGGAGGAGCTTCTGAGCTTCCCTTCCTGGGTCAGTGCCCAGCCCTGATCCCAGATCCCCAGGCCACTCCTGTCAGGGGCCTGATGTTCTAGGGAGGCAAGCAGAGGGCTGTAAATCTAGGGTTTTCCAGGAAAAGCTGAGGTAGTAGCCCTGCAAGGCTTGAGGGACCAGCTCCCGCAGACATGAGGGAACTGAGCCTCGGGTATGAGGACCAGCCATGGCCCCAATGCTGTCAGTAATTTGGCATAAATATGTCATATTGCATATAAAAATACATGCAATTTTTTTTTTTTTTTTTTTTTTTTTTAGTATTTATTGATCATTCTTGGGTGTTTCTCGGAGAGGGGGATTTGGCAGGGTCATAGGACAATAGTGGAGGGAAGGTCAGAAGATAAACATGTGAAGAAAGGTCTCTGGTTTTCCTAGGCAGAGGGCCCTGCCGCCTTCCTTCCGCAGTGATTGTGTCCCTGGGTAGTTGAGATTAGGGAGTGGTGATGACTCTTAACGAGTATGCTGCTTTCAAGCATCTGTTTAACAAAGCACAACTTGCACCGCCCTTAATCCATTTAACCCTTAGTGGACACAGCACATGTTTCAGAGAGCACGGGGTTGGGGGTAAGGTTATAGATTAACAGCATCCCAAGGCAGAAGAATTTTTCCTAGTACAGGACAAAATGGAGTCTCCTATGTCTACTTCTTTCTACACAGACACAATAACAATCTGATCTCTCCTTCCTTTCCCCACATTTCCCCCTTTTCTATTCGACAAAACCTCCTTTGTCATCATGGCCCGTTCTCAATGAGCTGTTGGGTACACCTCCCAGACAGGGTGGTGGCCGGGCAGAGGGGCCCCCCACCTCCCAGACGGGGTGGCGGCCGGGCAGAGGGGCTCCCCACTTCCCAGACCGGGTGGCTGGGCAGAGGCGCCCCCCACCTCCCAGACGGGGCGGCGGCTGGGCGGGGGCTGTCCCCCACCTCCCGGACTGGGCGGCTGGCCAGGCGGGGGCTGCCCCCCACCTCCCAGACAGGGCAGCTGGCCAGGCGGGGGCTGCCCCCCACCTCCCAGACTGGGCAGCTGGCCGGGCGGGGGCTGCCCCCCAGTACACATGCAATTTTTAAGCATTCCTTAGATTAGCCTGCTGAGTGCCCCACTGGGAGCCAAAACACAGCACACTCACACAAGCTGCCTGCTGCTTACTGAGACCATTTCTCTTGGCTGATGAATACACTGCAATGCTGAAACTGTCCTGAATGGCTCTTCTTCCAAGAAGACCTGTGCATGGGGATGGTAACTGTAGAAACGGAGGGGCTGCTCAAAGGCAGCAGGAGGGGAAAACTTAATGTTGAGGGGAAGCTGGAGAGGTACCTCAGCCAACCCTCTGCCTTTGCTTAGGGCCACCTTGAATGCCTGGAACAGAGGGAAACCTGCCCTATTCCCAGTCTGGAGGAGACTGCATGGAGGAGATTTTGGCCACTGGAAGCAATGTCCCCACTGACTTTTGCCTTTGCCTCTTCTTTATGTGACCTTCCTGTTGACTCATACATGCATGCATCCATCCACCTACTCACCCATCCATCTATCCACCCACCCAGCTACCCACACATCCATCCATTCACCCATCCAACTACCCACCCATTCATCCATCCTTCCACCCACCCATCCATCCATGCATCCATCCATCTATCCACCCACCCCCCATTCACCTACTCACCTATCCATCCATCTACCCACCCATTCATCTACCCACCATCCATCCATTCATCCTTCCACCATCCATCCATTTATCAAACATTGATGAGGAGTTACTGTACCAGGAACTGGGGATTGGAAGGTTCTATTGTGGGGAGATAGACATAGAAGAACACATATATTAGAGGACCTGGAGGCCCAGTGATGGAGGTGGTGATTGGAGGCTTTCTCAAGGAAGGCCATCTGAGCATTAGCAAAGTGATGGTTGAGGGAGAGGAGTTTCAGGAAGAAGGGACTGCCTGGGCAAAGGCATAGAGGCCTGAAACAGCTATCTTCCTGTTGTGGGGGAGGGTGTGGGGGGGTAGAAATGGAGGTGAGTCGGGGTGTGTGGAAGACAAATGGAGGTGGAGTGTGGTAGGAGAGGAGCTTGGGTGGTAGTCAAGACCCTCAAAGGGGATGCCAACTGTTGTGCGGCTGGTCTGAGGGCCAAGCTAGGGGCACAATCAGGTCTGTGTTCAAGTAGATTTGTCTGATGTCAGAGACTGGAGAGGATGAGTTGTGGGATATGAGGGTCCAAGGATGGATCCAGAGGAGACTGTGACTTAACTCCAGAGAAGTCCTTGAAGGTAGGACTGATGGTGACCTTGGGACTCACTAGCCTGTGGGTGGCCAAATGCCAAGCCCTCTCTGATCTCCCAGGTCTAACCCCAGGACATAGGTCCTGCTGCCAAGGGAGGGGCATCCTGGGATCCCCCATCCTCTAAGAAATAGGGAGATCTCAGTATGGGACCCTCTCCCCACCTAATCGTGGCTTTCCAGGCATCGTGGCTGTCAGAAGGGGAAGGTATTTGGGAACAGGAGGGTTTTCTGGGAGCCCTTGTGGACTGCCCTGCACCAAAGTTAAGTGCTGATCTCGGCCCCCTGGCAGTCTTGGCTCCTCCAGTGAGGGAGGCAGCTATCAGACAGGCTGGCTCCTTCTCCCTGGGAAACTGAGGGTGGGGGTGGCCCTGTTTCCTAGGTCCTGCACGGCTCAAGTGTTGTGAGCTGATTTGCTTTTTCAGCTCCTTCAATCTTGATAGCAACTGAGAGGTAAGAATCGTCATGCCCAGGCTGGGCACTGTATTCCTAACACTTTGGGAGGCCAAGGCAGGTGGATCACTGGAGCCCAGGAGTTCAAGACCACCCTGAGCAACATAGTGAGACTCCATGTCTACAAAAAATACAAAAATTAGCTGGGTGTGGTGGTGCATGTTTGTAGTCCCAGCTACTCAGGAGGCTGAAGTAGGAGGATCGCTTGAGCCCAGGTGGTGGAGGTTGCAGTGAGTTGAGATTGTGCCGCTGCAGCCAGGGCAACAGAGTGAGACCTTGTCTCAAAAAAAAAAAAAAAAAAAAAAAAAAAAAAAAGAATTGTCATGCCCGATTTGCAGACAGGGAGCAGAGGTCTAGAGAGATTGGGATTTATCCAACGTTTTGTACGACCAGTGCAGAAAGAAAACTTTCAAGTCTGCTGATTCTGAAGCTCATAGTTATTTTTTGTTGATTGATAATATATTATTGTTTTAACCACTCCAGGTTGCAATCCCTCCGCCCTCCCTCTCCCAATTTGGTTCTGTAGATCTGTCTGAATATGGCCACCTGCTGAGGTGGGGCCCAGCATGGCAGTGGGTGGTGCTGTGCGTGGGGCCTCAGTGCTCAGGCAGCCCCAGCCTGCTGCGGGGGTGAAGGTGGGTGAAGGTGACTCCCGCTGGCAGGAGCTGCCTCATTAGATGGTGCCTTTGCCATCTGAAGCCACTGTGTCTGCACCGTCTGCCTACTTTGTGGAAGTGGCTTTGGTTTATTGGGAAGGAATTTAATAAGCAAGCAGTGATTCTGAACATTCTGGGGGAAGTGGGAGGCAGTTTGAGGGGTGGGCAGCTCCCTCTATTGGGCCCCTTGGGGGCAGCTCTTGTTGATCCCCCATCTCTGTGGAGGTTGTGGGGGGATCTGGTTGTCAGGGTGGTCATAACCACATTCTGGGCCTGCTTGGTGGATCTGGAGACAACTACCAACACATGTTTGGTGTTCAGAGGGCTTGGTCTTGGGCTCAAGTTGGTCCCTTCAGACTCTGCCTGGGCTCTGTGCCTATGCCAGGCCTCCTTGAAGGAGGAGTGCTGGGCCATCCCCTCTCTAGTTCATGGCTGGGTGCTCCCTGGGGTCTCAGGGGCCCAGCCGGTGCCAGTCTCTGCTCTGTCTAGTGTGCTTGTTCCCACATTCCTTGGCACTTCCCCCTCTCAATCCCAGACTCTAGCTCCCACCTCTCTCATCTTAGTTTCCCAACTTTGAAAAAACTTTTAGGGGTAGTCATGGCCCCTTACTGGAAGACCCAGAGCCTTTCCTTCTAGCCTTCTGCCCTTGGAGACTGCTTAGCCAAACTTTCACCGTTATGGGGCTGGTTTGGTCTCTTTTTTGGTGACTAGTTTGAGAATTTATCTATCCATCCATTCATCCATCTATCTGTCAATCCTTTTATACTCTTTCTACCCACCCAGCCAACCATCCATTCATTCATCAACTCATCTGTCCATCCATCCATTCATCCATCATCCATCCATCCATCCATCTGTCCATCCCTCTGTCTTTCCATCTACCCACCCATCTATTCATCTACCCACCCATCCACTCATATATCCATCCATCCATCCGTCTATCCATCTATCCATCCATCCATCTATCCATCCATCTGTCCATCCCTCTGTCCTTCCATCTACTTACCCATCTATTCATCTACCCACCCATCCACTCATATATCCATCCATCCATCCATCCATCATCCACTCATCCATCCATCCACCTACCCCCTTGCCCACTTGTCCATCTGTCCTTCTGACCATCAGTCTATCCAGTCATTGAGCCAACATGTATTTACTGACACCTGTGGTGTTCCAGGCACGGTGTCAGGCAGCATGGACCCAAAAAGAGATGAGGCTCATTTCTAATTGGATAAGCAATGTGCAGAGGAGACATCAGTCATTCTTATGGGGCCATATTTAGTGATCCAAGGATGCCACAGAGCTTGGTGAGCTGTCCAAGGGCTCTGAACAAATCAGTACAGTCATCACAGTGATTGTTACTGAAATTGAGTGGGGAGGGGCATGTAGGAGCCAGCACTGGCTGGGGGAGGCCCTGTGTAGGGGGTTGGCTTTGGAGAGGTGGCTGCTGTGAGAACACCAGGCCTAGAATAAGCTTTCAGGCTGTGCCATTCCCTGTGGGTGGCAGGGTTGTCAGGAAGACAAGAGGGGGTTCTTGTGCAAGGTACGTGGGGGTGGGACAGGGTTCTGGGCGGTGGAGGGTGGATGGAGGGACCTGGAAAAGGAGGCAGGGGCTTTGAGGAGGCCCGGGTTAATGGTAGGGAATGCCAGCAAGGGGAGATGGCTCAGTGGTCCCCATGTGGATGGGCAGATTCTCAGGCTCCTCCTCTTCCCTGTGAGCTGGCCCAGGTGCGGCCGGGTTGTGGTGGCTGAGACCCAGCTGGAGTCACTGTCAGGAGCTCCCTTGCTTGTTCCTTCTGTTGGTGGCCAGGGCTGGGCTCCTCTCAGATAGCAGACAGGCCAGGCTGTCCTCAGAGAGAGGCCACGGGAGAGCGAGAAGTGTCCACACAGGGCCCTCAGGGAGCCCAGGTGGGCCGTGGCTTCACAAGGCCCTGTGGCTTTACCTGCCTGGCTGTGGTTAGTGGGGTCAGGGAGTGGCAGGGCCGGTGAGTGCAGCTGAGGGGAGAGCATCCTTTGCCCTCCAGGCTGGCTCTAAGTCAAGGCCAGAGAGGTTCTGGAGCAGCACAGGCCCTGGTTCCCAGATTCTGGTGGCACTGACCTTTCAGCCTCGTGGCTCCCTGGGAGAGCAGAGCTGGGAAGGACCCTTGTGTTTTTCCCTGACCCTGGGTCGTCTTGGCCCCCAGGCACATGGGTGCCTGCCCCAGCTTTTGGTTCACCTCTCCTTTTTGTATGGATCATGGTGGGTTTGGGAGTATGCGTGCACACTCTTGACATCTGCCTCAGGGAGGCTGGCTGCTGCAGCTGGAATGGGGACCATGAGGGTTCCTTCTTCCTGCCTTCCCTGGCTTCCTGTGCTGCCCCAGCCTTCTTCTTCTGCTGACCTCTGGCCTGTGGCTTTGTGAGTGCCCAAGGCCGGCCAGCTGTGGCTGGTGGGAAGCGGGGGCTTCCTTTCTGCCCAAACTTCTCATGGGAAAGTGGGGCAGGGACAGCTTTGGGGCAGGTGAGTGGTGGCTGCTCACTCATGTGGCTTCAAGGACCACCTGAGATGCCCATTCACCACTTGGGGACAGCACTGTCACAGGCAGTTCCTTTGGGTGGGGCCTTCTCTGTTTTGCAGAGGCCACCAAGGAATGGAGTAAAGCGAATAGTAGAGGAGGAATGGAGTAAAGCGAATGGTAGAGGAGGAATGGAGTAAAGCAAATGGTAGAGGAGGAATGGAGTAAAGCAAATGGTAGAGGAGGAATGGAGTAAAGCGAATGGTAGAGGAGGAATGGAGTAAAGCGAATGGTAGAAGAGGAATGGAGTAAAGCGAATGGTAGTAGGAGCTGCAGTGATGATGGTGACAGGCCATAGGAATGGGTGACTGTCTGAGGGGTAGGTGCTGGGACATGAGCCCCAGCATGGGCAGTTTCCTAACTTCCCCAGGCCACTGGCCCACTTGCCGTAAGGGGTTTCTGTGCCAACTCTGGGAGAAGCAGGCGGGTAGTGTCCCCTCTTCCCTCCCCTGGCTTAATCCACTCCCCCAGAGCCCAGGAGAGGAGTTTCCAGGTATTGGGAGCTGGACACAGGCCAGTTGGTCTACAGGGAGCCCCAGGCTCTGTACCAGGCCAGGTTCTTAGTGCCTAAGGTCCCCCGCCATCGCCTCAGGAGGAGAAAGGAAAAAATGAAAACATGGAATCAGTGCGACAGGGGTCTAATTACCCTGGGTAGCATCAAGCCTCCAATTTTGGGCCCTGGTGCTCCTTTTAATTTGGGGTGTTTAAATATTTACCTGCAATGGAGGGGAAAAAATCTTTTGGGCTGCAAGGCTATTCTGGCAGCAATGCACTGAGAAATTCATTAAACCACAGTTAATTAGGGGATGAAAGATACGTATATAGCTCATTAGCTCAACCCACATAATTTACATCTCTGAGGATATTCGAGGACTAGCTCAGCTTAGGCTCTCAGAAATGGTGTCTTGAAAGGAAACCTCTCACTTTGGCTATTTCTTTGGGCATGTGGCATTAGGGAGGGGGCCATGGCTGCCCTCTGTCTGTCCATCCACGAGAGGGTAAAGGGGCCCAGGCCTCGCTGCCTCTTGTGTTCGCCGCTGGAGCCAGAGGTGGGGCTGACTGGCTGTGCTCCTGCTGCCAGGGATGATTAACGAGGGGGTGGCAGCCTCCTTGCAGGCGCGCTGCTTAGCATAATGGTGCGGTGTCTGAGCAGGCTTTAAGCTGCATCGAATCCGATTTCTAGATCAGAGACATTATCCCCGATTTAATCTGTAATAGTTAGAGAAATTAGGGCGGGAGCATCAGATCCACGTGTCTCTTACCAGACAATAGTTCCTGTTCTGGCGCCTGCCTGGGGCCTCTGAGGGGAATTAGGGAGGCCTTGGCTCTGCTGAATCTGTGTCCAGGACTTGCACACACAGCAGGCCCCGCAACTCTGCCCCCTTGAAGGGCTGCTCCTCTGTGCCACTGTCCCACCAACTTGGGGCTATGACAGGATTACTGACCTTGCTAAGGGTTTCTGCATAGTTGTCATCTTTTGGTGGATATTGGTAGGAAGTGCAGTTGGTTAAAAAAAAATTCCCTGGCCAGGTCCCACTATCAGCCCTCACCCTGATTATGCCCCCAATTGAGGAAGAGAGATAAGGAGAGGAGCTGTGTTTGCATGCCTGTGTATATGTGTATACAGGTGTGCACACATACATGTATACATGTATGTATATATGTGTACACACAGTGCACACAAGCACACGTGTGTGCATGTATGTGCAGGTATGTATGCATGTGCTTGTGTGCACATGTGTGGCACGTGTGTGCAGAGATGGTGGCGAGGACTGGGGAAGGCTGGATTAAATGTCCTGAGGGATCGGCTTGACCCCTGCTCGGCCGTGACATCTGCCCGCCTTGTGCTGGGGGCTGCGGGTGAATGGAGGTTGGCCAGAATCAGACTGGAAGGTGGGAACCCCATGCTGTTAATGGGTGGCGCTGGCATTTTGGGCAAGCAACTTTCATTTCCAGGCCTTGATTTCCTCGTCTGTATACTGGCAGCAGCAATCCCTCACTCAGACTATTTTTGAAAATTAAGGGAGATGATAGAATTGACACTCTTTCTCCAGGGCCTGGCATAGAGGAACTGCTCCCTCTGTGTTAGCTGTTTTCATTATTGTTTTTTGTTCTTTACCACTCTGAGCCTCAGTTTCCTCATCTGTTAAGTGGGGTTGTCTAGCTCACAGGGTGGTTATGAGGAGCTGAGTTCCCATTGGCATCTGACACACAGGACCCAGACAGCTGAGTGGCTTTGGGCCATGTCAATGAATGAGGAGGGGTGGGCACAGCCTGACAGTGCTTGGCTCTCCAGGCCTGGTTAGGGCCCAGGAGTAACTCAGCCCCTAAAGACTCCATCTGAGGATGGCTGACCCCTATCCTGTCCTCCCCCAGAGGAGACCTACCCTATTGAGCACGGGTCTGCAGAGCCAGGCCTCTGGGCCTTGGTGGTACTGCCTACTGGCAGGTCCTCTTCCTCTTCTTTTGGGTTTGCACCTGTTCCTGATGGCACCCACACCTGCATCGGGTTCCTTGATATGAACCACCACCACTGTCAGATAGCAGCAGCAGCACTGAGAATTACAGTTGATATGCATTCTGCTGGAGTTGACATCTTCACACCCATCCTGGGAAGTGGGCATTATTATAACTCTTGTTTTACAGGCGAGGAAGCTGAGACACAGGGAGCTTGAGCCTGGGCCCAGCGTAGGCCTGCTGGAGGTGGGGAATTTGGTGAGGCAGGTGGGGCTGGGTGAGGAGCTGATGGACAAGCAGTGTCCATTGGCTGTCAGTACCAGATCCCTGTCCTACCACTTGTTACTGTGACTGTGGGCATGTTACCTCTCTGTGCCTGAGTTTCCTCATCTGTGGCCTGGATGTCATTACTCGGAGGATGGAGCAAGGTCACCATGCAAAGCACCAGTATCTGGCACATGGAGAGCTCTGATTCTTGGGAGTAGGGTGTGAAGAGTGTACTGCTGGAGAGGCCCTTTTGGACGAGGTGGCCTGGACAGGGGTTTTGGAGGTGGGCATGGGCAGGGGCTCCAGCTTGGCCATTCTTCCTATATGGCCTTAGCCCCTTGCACTCTTTAAGTTGGCTGCCTTACCTATATCCCTTTCAAAAGTTTTAAAAGTACCCCCTGCCTCAGCCCAGGCTGAGCCAGGGCCTGTGAATGCCTGATGAGGGCATCCCTCCACCAGCAGGCAGCTCAGGATACGTCAAGAGCCCTTGTCCTTTCTTGGATGTCCTGGGAGGGGAAGTGTGGCAGCCCTCAGCCTAGCCCCCTGAGGCTCTCAAGGTCAGCGTCTGGGTCAGGAGGCAGTCTCCCTCTTCCTCCATACCCTCATCAGCAACTTGTGGGGCCTTTTGCTCCAAACACTCCATGATCCAAAAGCTAGGAATGCCATTGTCCTCCTCCGATCTTCGTATGTGTTGTTCCTTCTGCCAGGAACACCTGACCTTATTCTTTCCTTGGTAAATCTTGCTCTGCCTTCAAAAGGCTCAGTTCATGATTTAGCAACCACATACTCCCTGCCAGGTGGGCTCATTGTTTCCATGAGGTTCCACTGTGTTGCCAGAACCTAGCACGGGGCTTGGCACATAGTAAATGCTCAACAAAAATCTGTGTAATTGAATTAGTGTACATTATTACAAGCCATCTGCTTCACGTCTCTGTTGCTTCTTCCATGTGAGCCATTGAGGCCAGGATTCCCCTGAGGGTGGGGTGAAGCTCGATCCTTGCATCCAGGGACCCAGCATAGGCATTGGCACACAGGAGGTGCTTCCTGAGGGTCTGTTGAGCTCAGCAAAATACCCGGGGCTCTGACCAGGCTGGGTCAGGTGGGGGTGTCTTCTGCTCCATCCAGGCAGTCTGGGCTCTTGCAGGTGATGGCCTCCCAGGGGCAGTGGTTGGGGGTTTGTCTCAGCAGGACTTTGAGTAGGAACTTGCACTAGATCACTCATAACTAATTAATTATATTGTGGAATTGAGGCTCATTCCTATTATTCACTGATGAGAAAATTAAAGATCTATTGATATTGCAATAATTAATTGAATAAAAATGTGGAAATAACTATGCAAACTCTGTCTAGGATTAAGTTAGTGATACTAACTCCCTGGTGACCAGATAGCGGTGGGGGGGAGTTCTGCTTAAGGGGAGCATGGCCCAGATGAGGCCTGGAGGCCCTGCCTGAGGTGGTGTGGACTGATGGGTGGTGCTCGTTTGGCAGGGGCATTGCCCAGAGGGACTCAGCCTGCGGCTGTAGGGGGCCCCCCTGTAAAGATGCCTCACTCTTAACTTGCCAGAAGTGGAGGGGTCCTGATGGCCAGGGCCAGCCAGCGGGTGGAGCCTTTGCCCTGAAGGGCTAGGACAGAGAGGGAGTTACAAAGAGGAGCCAAAGTCACTTCAGGGAATAGACAGCCTGGGTGAGGTGAGGAGAGGGGCTGGGGGGCCAGGGCATGGTGGACTGAAGGGTCAGAGATAAGGTGAGAGTTCATAGCCAAGGCTGAGAGTGGTAAACAAGTGGGAGCTGGTGCATCTTGTGGGCAACAGGGCCTTGGACCCCTCACAGAGCACTGGGCAGTGGCCACTGATTCCAAAGAATGGTGGCTTCTCCCCAGACCCTGTTGCCTAGACTTTAGCATCAGGCTGTGTCTCCTTGTGTGCTTGGGTAAAGAGGCAGTGTCCATTCAGGCTTCATGTCCCCAGGGCCAGTGGGGCCTTCTCAGGGGCTCTGACCCAGCCTGGCAGGGACACCTTCCACGCCTTTCCACATTGGCTGCTCCTGCTGCTCTGTGCTTGGCTCCCCGAGGCTGGTCTGGGGCTCCCATGCTGCTATCTCTGGAGGATGGGGACCTGAGGTGACCACCAGTGAGCCACTGCTTGGCGGCAGCATTGATGCCATGGCTGGAAAGCCACATGTTGTTAGGTTCACCCTGATGCACCTGGTGGCTGCTCCACTGCGTGCAGCTGCTGCTTGGACTCCTTATCTGGGCAGCACATTCCATAGGGGAGCAGTTGGTCTCTTCTCTTCTGGAGCTAAAATCTGCTTTTCAAGGGTCCCAGCTCTGCCCTGCCCACCCCCGCCCCCGCCGCACCCACCCAAGAGGTGGGCCCCTGGACATATCTTGCCCTCTTGCGTACAATAGCCACAGCTCTTTTTCAGCACCTGCTTCACTGACCTGCTGCCTTCCCTGCACCTTCCTCTCAGTGCCCCTGGCCCTCCAGCATGGGGCTCAGTGCAGAGGAGGCAGCACTCCACTCTCATTCTCCAGATGGTCCCAGAATGCCCCTGTGAGCCAGGCACAATCCCAGGCCAGGTTCTAGCTCCCAGGAAGCTCATGTCCTAGTGATGTGTGTGCTGGAGTGATGGGGGTGGAAAGTGTGGAGGCCCAGGGCCCTGAAACCAGACAGCCAGGCTTGCCTCTCCCCAGCCATGGGCCTCAGGTACAGTGTCCGCTTCTGAGCCACAGTTTCCTTATCTGGAAATGTGATATTTGGTTTCCTGGGGCTTCCATAACAAAGTCCCTCAGGCTGGTGGGCTTCAAAAACAGATATTTATTTTCTCACAGTTCTGGAGGCTGGAAGTATAAGATCAATGTGTTGGCAGGGTTGGTTTCTGCTGAGCCCCTCTCCTTAGATTGTAGATGGCTGTCTTCTCCCTGTGTCTTCACATGGTCTTCCCTCTGTGTGTACCTGTGTCCTCATCTCCTCTTCTTATGAGGACACCAGTCTTATAAAGGTGGAATAGGGCCCACCTTCCTGATTCGTTTTAATTTAATCACTTCTATAAGGACCCTGCATTTGATCATTCTCACATTATTATAAATAACTACCTGAAACTGGGTAATTTATAAAGAAAAGAGGTTTAATTGTTTCTCTGGGCTGTATATGAGGCATGGTTAGGAGGCCTCTGAAAACGTACAATCGTGGTGGAAGGTGAAAGGGAAACAGGCATGTCTTACATAGCTGGAGAAGGGAGAAGAGAGCAAGAGCAGGTGCTACTTGCTTTTAAACAACCAGATTTTGTGAGAACTCACTCACTATTGCAAGAATAGCAAGAGGGAAATTTGCCCCCATGATCCAATCACCTCCCACCAGGCCCCTCCTCCAACACGGGGATTATAATTTGAGATTTGGGTGGGGACACAAATCCAAACCATATTATTCTGTCCTTGGCCCCTCCCAAGTCTCATTTTTTATCACATTGCAAAATACAATCAACCCTTCTCAACAGTCCCCCAAGTCTTAACTAATTTCAGGATTAACTCAAAAGTCCACAGTCCAAAGTCTCATCTGAGACAAGGCAAGTACCTTCTGCCTATGAGCCTGCAAGCTCAAAACCAGTTAGTGACTTCCAAGATACAATGGGGGTGCAGGCATTGGCTAAATACACCCATTCCAAGAGGGAGAAATCAGCCAAAACAAAGGGGCTACAGGCCCCATGCAAGCCCAAAACCCAGTCACTAAATCTTAAAGCTTCAAAATAATCTCCTTTGACTCTATGTCTCATATCCAGGCAACACTAATACAAAGGGTGGGCTCGCAGGGCCTTGGGCGGCTCTGTCCCTATGGCTCTGCAGGGCTCAGCCTCTACAGCTCTGGAGGATGGAGTGTTGAGTGCCTGTGGCTTTTCTAGGCACATGTTGCAAGCTGTTGGTGGATCTACCATTCTGGGGTCTGGAGGATGGTGGCCCTCTTCTTACAGCTCCACTAGGCAGTGCCCCAGTGGAGACTCTGTGTAGGGGCTCCAACTCCACATTTTCTCTCCACACTGCCCTAGTAGTGGTTCTCCATGAAGGCTCTGCCCCTGCAGCAGACTTCTGCCTGGACATCCAGGCATTTTCATACATCCTTTGAAATCTAGGTGGAGGCTCCCAAGCCTCAACTCGCACACTTTGCACACCTGCAGGTTTAACACCTGTGGAAGCCAGCAAGGCTTATGGCTTGCACCCTCTGAAGCCCAAGCTGTACCTTGCCCCGCCAAACGCTTTTTTTTTTTTTTTTTTTTTTGAGATGGAATCTCGCTCTGTCACCAGGCTGGAGTGCAGTGGTGCAGTCTCGGCTCACTGCAACCTCTGCCTCCCAGGTTCAAGTGATTCTCCTGCCTCAGCCTCCCAAGTAGCTGGGACTATAGGCATGTGCCACCATGCCCAGCTAATTTTTGTATTTTTAGTAGAGATGGGGTTGTATTTTTAGTAGAGACGGGGGGCAGGATGGTCTCAATCTCTTGACCTCATGATCTGCCTGCCTCAGCCTCCCAAAGTGCTGAGATTACAGGCATGAGCCACCACCCCTGGCCACCTTGGCCCTTTTAGCCATGGCTGGAGCTGGAGTGCCTGTGATGCAGTGTGCCATGTCCCAAGGCTGCACAGAGCAGCAGGTCCTGGGCCTTGCCTATAAAACCATTCTTCCCTCCTAGGCCTCCAGGCCTGTGATGGGAGGGCTGCTGCAAAGGTCTCTGAAATGCCTTTGAGGCATTTTCCCCATTATCTTGGCTATCAACATTTGGCTCCTCTTTACATATGCAAATTTCTGCAGCCTGCTTGAATTCTTCCCCAGAAAATGGGTTTTTCTTTTCTACCACGTGGCCAGGCTGCAAATTTTCCAAACTTTTATATTCAGCTTCCCTCATCTTCCTGTTTTCTTCTGAGCCCTCCAAACTGTTCCAACCTCTGGCAATTACCCAGTTCCAAAGTCGCTTCTACATTTTCAGGTATCTTTATACTAATGCCGCCTTTCTCAATACCAATTTGCTGTATTCGTCGGTTCTCAAATTGCTTTAAAGAACTCCCTGAGACTGGGTAATTTATAAAGAAAAGAAGTTTAATTGACTCAGTTCCACAGGCTGTACAGGAAGCATGACTAAGGTAGGCCTCAGGATCATGGTGGAAGGCGAAGGGGAAGCAGGCATGTCTTACATGGCAGGAGAGGGAGAAGGAGAGAAGGGGAAGGTGCTACATGCTTTTTTTTTTTTTTTTTGAGACAGAGTCTCGCTCTGTTGCCCAGGCTGGAGTGCAGTGGCACAATCTTGGCTCACTGCAAGCTCCGCCTCCTGGGTTCATGCCATTCTCCTGCCTCAGCCTCCTGAGTAGCTGGGACTACAGGCACCTGCCACCATGCCCAGCTAATTTTTTGTATTTTTAGTAGAGATGGGGTTTCACTGTGTTAGCCAGGCTGGTCTTGAACTCCTGACCTCGTGATCCACCCGCCTTGGCCTCCAAAAGTGTTGGGATTACAGGCGTGAGCCACTGTGCCCATCCAGGTGCTACATGCTTTTAAACAACCCGATCTTCCGAAAATTCACTCATTATTGTAAGAACAGCAAGAGGGAAATCCACCCTCATGATCTAGTCACCTCCCACCAGGCCCCCCGTCCAACACTGGGGGGATTACAATTTGACATGAGATTTGAGCGGAGACACAAATCCAAACCATATCAGACCCTGTATCCAAATAAGTTCACATTCTGAGGTACTGGGGGTTAGGGCATTTTAAGGGAGACACAGTTCAGCCCTTAACATAGGAGGTAATGTCACCTCCTCCCAGGAGCGTAGTGAGAAATGGCACAGTGTTCATGACACAGATCCTGGCACAGAGGTCTCCCTGGCTTTCCTGGGCTTTGGGTCTCTGAGGGGAAGGAGTGTGGAAGCAGAAGCAGAGGACTGTGTCGTGCCTGCCCATGGAATTAGAAGTTCTTCCTGAGTGTATCTCACCACGTCTACCTCCCAGCAGCAGTGCTCAGGGGCTCCAGCATGGCCTGGCCCCCAGAGTGCCACTCTGCCTCCTGCTCTCTGCTCTCCTGCTAACCCTGAGAGCCAGGCCTGGCCACACTCGCTGGGTCAGGCGTGTAGCCCTTCCCTGGCACCCAGGATTTGCCATGCACATTTTCCTTCTCTGTGCTTCTGCTCCTCCTGACCCCTGTGCCAAGACGTCTTGTCATCCTCCCCCTACTCACACCTGTCCCCTTTGAGACTGTGCTCCATTCTCAGTGCTCCCGTAATGGGTCCTGCCTGCTGATATTGCACTTTGCTGTGTGAAGACTGGAGCTAGTGTCATTGATGATGTATGCAGGTGGTGGAGGGAACATGCTGGGGATGCCGGAATGGCCTAGGGCTCAAGCTGTCCTGGGTCCTCATCTGTATTGCACTGGGTACTTCAAGTTGAAGGCCAAGACCATGCAGACCTTGACTTCTAGGGATGAAGTGGGGACAGTGATGGTAGTGGTGGCTCCGTTTTTCAATGGCCTATGTGACACACTAGGCACTCATCATCCTTGTTCTTTACTACAACATGGTAAAGTGTTATGGCATACTTCAACTTGCAGGTGAAGACATTGAGAGGTTGAAATATTGCCTAAGAGAAAAAACGTGCAAATCACATATTTTATAATGAATTTCTGTCCAGAACATATAAATGAGTCTTCCAATTCAATAAGACAAGCCACCCAATACAAAATGGGCAAAAGATTTGTATAGATACTTCACCAAAAAAGAGATACAGATTTCAAATAAACATGCAGAAAAGATGTTCAATAATGTTAGTCTTTAGGGACATGCAAATCAAAACATAATCAGATACCACTTCACACCCACTAGGATGACTATAATAAAAAAGACAGTAACAAGTGTTTTGAGAATGTGGAGCAACTGGAACCCTCATACACTGCCAGCGGGAATGCAAAATGATGCAGCTGCTGCGAAAAACAGTTTGACAGCTTATTAAAAAGATAAACACATATACTTCACCATATCATTTAGCAATTCCACTCCTAGGAATTTGCGAAAGAGAAAAGGAAGCATATGTCTATACAAAGACTTATACATGAATGTTCATAGCAGCATTATGTATGATGGCCTCAAACTGGATACAACACAAATGTCCATCAACTGGTGAATAGATAAACAAAATTGGATATTCCTATTCAGTGGAATACTACTCAGAAATACAAAAGAATGAAACACTGATACACGCTTAACATGGATGAACCTCAAAACATTATTCTAAGTGAAAGAAGGCAGACACAGAAGACTACGTGTTGTATGATTCCATTTATGTGCAATTTCCAAAAAAGGCAAAACTATAGAGACAGAAACCAGATGAGTAGCTGGCTGTAGCTGGGGGTGGAAGCAGAGATTGACTGTAAACAGGCATGAGGGGACCTTTGGGGTGTATGGAAATATTGTAAAACTGGATAGTGGGGATGGTTGCACAATTGTATAAATTTGCTAAAACTCAAAACCATGCAATGGGTGAATTTCATAGTATGTAGTTTGTACCTTAATAAAGCTGTTTAAAATGATCTTGCTGAAGACCATAACTAGAAAATGGTCAAGGCAGAATTCAAAGCAAGACCAGCCTTCTCCAGGCCTGGGTCTGTGGTCCACACTGCCAGGTACAGAGAGGTCAGCCTCGGGCAGGAGTTGAGAGACCTCTGCCCTCTGCAATGTGGGAGCCGCAGGGGAGGTGACAGTTGCATTTGGTGGTGGGTGGAGGACTAGGAGGTTGGGACTGGGCCTTCTCCAGGGCCTGAATATTTGAGGAGGGCATATGTATGAGTGTGCAAGGCCCAAGGAGAGAGCTGGCCAGGCTCTGGCCCGGGGAGTAGGGAGGCCGAGAGGGCTGAACTGGGCAGCTGCATTTTCTTTGGGAAAAAGTCTATCTGCATGCACGTCCGTGGAGCTTTCTCCCCTCCACTGTGCTTTCTCCTCTCCCCTGCACCTCCCTCCCTTTGAGGTTTCTCCAGCTCTATTGATTTGGCTGGTGGTTCCACCATCAGTGCGCCTGCAGGTAGTGATTTTCCCCATGAACTGCATCTCGGCTCATTAAGGAAGCCGGTGGCTCCCTGTGTCGCCAGTATGCCTGCTGTATTTTGCTGATGGGCCCAGAGCTGGATGGACCATGGAGGCTGCTTTCTCACCCTCCCATTCTCATCATTAGCATTCCAAAGTAGAAAACAAGCCTGATGCTTGCTGCCTAAATATTTATGGAATGCTGCTGGGGTCAGAGGATGAGAGCAGCAAGTGAAATTAAAGATTTACACCGCAACACCAACCTGGGGGGGCTTGGGCCATGGCTTGCTTTTTGTGTTGCTTAGAGAAAAGAGTTTTCTCTTTTCTCCCAGGAAACTTAGTTTTTGTAGATATTTGAAGCAAAATGCATGAAATTTTAATCTCTTGCTTCACATTGGATCTTCCTAAGTTGTTAGTTACTAAGGAGCCGATGAGTGAGAGGTGCAGACCCTTCCGTGTGTCTGGATGCACACAGGGATTCTGGAAAAACCAATGCCGTTGTTTGGCTTTCATTCTTTTGGCTCCACTGGGGAGCAGGGCTCATTTGATAGCGTGGGAGCTGCTGCCTGTATAGGGATTAGCTGGGGGCAGACGTGCCCGATGTTTGTTTCTCAATAACCCTGAAAGCTGGCCACTTCTCTCTTTCTAGGGTGGCTCTGATGAAACCTCCCATTTTAAATTGGAGGAAGGAAAAGGGGGATGGAGCATTTCTGCCGGGCCAGCTAAGGTCTGGTAGCAAACAGACCCTGAACAGAGTTTTCCTAGAAGTGTGGGCAAAGTTAGGGCACCAGCTATGTTGAAGTGGCCTCAGGAGGTGTTCCTGTCCCTAGTCCTGAAGGGGCACAGAGAGGGGACAGCAACTGGAGCAGGTAGTGCAGCCACAGTCAACCCAGCAAGGAGGCAGCCAGGGGAGAAGCACCCCCACCCTCACCCACCCTCCTCCCCACCCCCACCCCCTCTCCACCCTCTCATTTCCTGCCTGTGTCTCCCATTGGTCAAATCACCAAGGGACCTGGGGACAAGGGAGTCTTGGCCATGCCGTCCACAGCAGTCAGCCTTCCAGAGTCCCAGTAGTGGATCTGGAGGGCCCAATTGTCTCCAGTCACGTTCCCTAGAGGCAGAGCCTGGGACAGGGGTTGGGTGTCTGAGATTTATGGAGGGAAGCAGGTTAGAGAGGAAAAAGAGACAAGGAAGGATGTGGTATCATGTAAGTCTAGCCTGTCCTGATCAGGGACTCTGGAACATAGAGTTGTTCCCTCTGGAGGGAAGGAGGGGTGACCTCCTCTACCACCACCACTGTCTGATGTTGGCTGTGAGCTACCCTAGGGTGGGGAGTGGGCCATCCCCTCCGGCAGCTCCCCTGGGTGAGGGAAGTTTGCTGGAGAAGGGGGCACCTATGAGGCCCAGCTGCCTAACATTTAGAGCAAGAGGGGATGGGAGTGTCCATCTGTAAAGGGGGCCTGGCTGGGACACTAATAGCATCTGCGACTCCATCAGGGAACAGCCTCCGCACCACAGCCTGGCTTTGTGGGAGGACTGATGTCAATTAGCAGACACCTCTGGATTATAGAAATTGGCCCCTTGCTCCCAGCCATCTCATCTGGGGAATTAATATGAGTGCTAGTCTTCTCAGAAGCTGCACCGAACCTGGCTGAGGTGGTCACAACAGAGGCAGAGCCCCTTCTGCAGCTGACGGCTTTCCCTCTCTCGGTGGCTGAGACTGTTCAGCTTTCCCTAAAACGCTCCAGCCGGCCACTTCAGTGGGTGTCACATCCTGTCCCCCAGCCTCTGCCATAGACATCCCGTTCTCCTGCAAAGGCCTGGCTGAAGTACTCTCTTTGGTTATCCTGAGAAATTATCCTGAAGGGTTCCTGCAAGTGAAGAATTTTAGATGAGGGTATTTATCAGAGCCAAGCATTAATAATAAATGATGCCTGATTTTTTTATTAGAGGAGCCACATAAATGTGGCTGCTTCAACTTTTTAACTCTTGGGAAAGCTTGAAGTTGCAGGCTACTCTGCTGTGGGAGAGTGCCAGCTAATCAGGTCCCATTCATATGCAAAGCACTTGCTAAGCTGAGTTCATCAAAATGCAGTCGTTTCTTAAAAAAAAATATTTATAGACTTTCCCTCCCTGCAAAAGACTGCAAGGAAGATGGATAGTGAAAAATACAAATTGTTAATGCCCTGAAAAGGAAGTCTCATCCTGAGCCTTGCTAAAGCATTCCCTATTCTTTGAGAAAAACTTAAAAATGGGCATTTGTACTCTAGATTTCTCTACTTCCCTTTACTAAACTCTCTCCCTCCTCTTATTCCAGTCACTTCGCAGTATCTCTTTGGAGTCTAGTTTGATCTGTCCAGGTGGTGGTGGGGGTAGGTTCAGGATGGGTGGGAAATACAACAGGAGAGGCAGCTGGGCTGTATCGACTCCTGCCTTGACTGTACCTGACACAGTGCAGTCTTGGGCTTGTGAAACCTCACTGAGTCTTTGCATCAAGTCTGTCCCCATTATAGAGACTGGAAAACTGAGGCTCAGAGAGATGCCCAGTGACTGCCAGCCAGAGAACCCTCAGTGTATCAGTTCCTGAGGGAGCGGGAGCGGCATTCCAGAGCATGCGGGAACAGTGCTGCTCAGCTTGCCTTTTCTCCTGGCTCCCTAATACAACGGCTGCGTTATTCCCCTGGGGCCCTCCCTGGCCTCCCAGTTTTCTTCCTCGTGGGATTGGGATGCGCTATTCTCATTGCACTTAGGGATGAGAGAGGAGAAAACAGGGAAAGGGAAGCTGGGATTCAGGGCTTCCTGGCCCACTTCTCTACCCTTGTTTCTCCTCTCTTATACCCAAGTGCAGTGAGAAGAGGGTACCCCAGTCTCTGGGAGGTAAAAAAAAATGTCCATGCGGATACACGGGAGGGTTTGCAGTATAGGAGCAACCCTCACCCCATCCCTCACCCAATGAGCATTTGTTGAGTGTGTTCTGTGTGCCAGCCTCGGGGAATCATGGTCACATGGAGGTCCTGGACTGCTTGCTTCCTTGGGGAGACAGACAGTTAAATGCATGTTACTGTGAAGAGGTTTGCTGATGAGTAACTGAAGACACTGCGTCTCCAAATACAATAGGAGGCACAGACTAGGTGCTGATTGAGGTCAGCTGTCTAATGACTCCTGTGGTGGTTAATAATAGCTGCTCACTCTGCTTCCTTTTGTGGTAGCAAATACCCTTTGGAGACACACTTGGACAGGTTATTCTTCCCATTTATCAAATGGGAAAGCTGAGGCCTACAGAGATAACATGACCCCGACTGTGCTCTTCATCCAAAGCTTTTGCTGTCTCATTGCTTGAATACTTGTGGAGAGAGAGAATGGTTGACAGTAGGGCCATGGGCCTGCCTGGTTCAGCATGCCCTGGCTCAGGGCACAAGGGTTCACTTAGGGGGTCTGGAATAGGGTTACCTGTGGCCTGCTGGATCAGGGGCCATTAGAGCCAGAGCCTCTGTCCGGAGTGCAGAATGACTTGGCCCTGCTTCCCAGGCAGATGGCTGTGCCCTGAGTGTGCAGAGATGGTGGGGGTCAAGAGGGCATTTCTGACCTCCCAGGAACCAGCCCGGGCCCCCTGCCTCCCTCCTGGGAGACACTATCTTCAGATTTCCAGCAGATTAGCAGCAAACCAACCATTTCCGCTTGGAATTTGAAATTGATTGTGGACAATTTTCTGACATGCATGTCTCCTGCCATTTGCAAAATGTGTATCACAGGCCCCTTCTGGAAGCCTAGCTGGGCAGGCAGTTCTCCCTCCGTCCCTGGCCACCACCACAGATGTTTGGGTTTGCTGGAGCCAGAGTTGTGCTTAGAGACCTTGGAAACAGCCCAGTGCTGAGAGGCCTGGTCCTCGGGAAAGTCTCATGGAACCAGGGATTGCAGCTTGGGTAGAAGTGTGGCCACTTGGGCCTGTCACTGCCCACACCGCCGGGCACAGAGATGTGTGTGTATTACTCATGTCACCATCCATGGAGGGAGCCCATCTGCCAGCCCTGGGTGGGAGATGGATAGATGGGTTGGACATGATCCTGCTTGGAGGCGCTCACAGACCAGAGGGGGAGACAGCTCTGGCAACACAGAGGAGAGATCTGGGAGAAATCAGGGGAGTCTTCGTGGAGGAGGTGACAACTGAGCAAACTCTTGAAGTATGAGTAGGAATTTATAGTGGTCAGAGGAGACTTATGCACATAGAGGAAACAGGGTATGCAAAAGTACAAAATGTTGAAAGGTGACATGTGTTCAGGGAACAGTGGGAAGTTCAGGTGTGGAGACAGAAAGAAATGCATGTTTCCTCGCTCCAGGCTCAATGCTCAGCCAGGTTTAGTGCTGATGATGGCCTCTCCAGAGCTGATCAGGAGAAGCCGTTTGAGCTCTGTCTGCTGTCCTTTGGTTGTGCATTGTCACTGAGTGGCTTCTGGGAGGGGTGAGACTTCCAGCTCCGAGGGAAGCCAAATGTGGCACAGGAGTTCCTGGTGGTGTTGTCCCCACTGGAGACTCATTTCCTCATCTGTGATAGAAACTCCCCCAGGCAACTGTGTGACCAGAGAAGTGGAGACCTGTGGTGGCCTCTCTCCTCCGTAGTTCTTGATATGATTGCCCAGTCTGGGTTGGGGTAGGGTGGGTGGTGGTTCTGGGATGGGGCGGGACTGTAGGGTGAGGTCAGGCAGGGCCTGAAGCCAGGTTTAGGAGGCAGGGGCAAGTTGGGCTCGTGGTGGGCTGCTTGAGGCTGGCTGGTCACCATAGGCAGGAGGGCTAAGGCCGGGAGGAGGAGCTGCTGCTACCAGGAGCAGGATGCAGGGGCTGGGGATACCTGGAGGCTGTTACTCCTTCACTTACCAATGGTCCCATGTTGAGTCAACAAGCACCCTCAGGGCCTGCTCTGGGCCAGGCTCTGGGGATCCCAAGGTGAGGCAGACAGGTGTGGCCATATGGTGGAGTGACTGCCTGAGGACAGGACTCTATGTGTGGTGGTGTCTTACAGAGGACATAGCCTAGCCTGGGGTTCAGGGCAGGTCATCTGAAGGAGAGGTGTCTGGGCAGGACTTAGTGAAGTGGGGGAGGTTGTGGAGGAGGCTACAGCAGATGCCAGGTATGGGTAGGTGGACTTGGCTGGCCCGCACGCCCGGCTGTCTGCCCTGGCCACGCCATCAGAAGGGTTGAAGCCAGATGAGTTGAACTCCAGGCAGTGCTGGGCTATGACAAACCTGCTTAAGAATGAAGCTTCTGGGGTCCCTGGAATGACTGGGGCCTGTGTACTCCCAGAAGTGCACCCACTGCCACCCCCAGATCATGAGAATAGCTGAAACTCATAGAGGGTGCCCTGTGAGTCAGGCTCGGCTCTCAGCAATTTACACCATTTACTCACTCAGCCTGTGAGGCGGGGCTATTATTAGCCCGTTTTGCCAATGAGGAAATTAGGCACAGAGAAGTTAGGTGTCTTGCCCAAGGTCACAGAGTTAAGTGGCTTTAACCTTGGCAGCCTGGCTTCTTCATCCTTACTCTGAACCCCACACTCTGCTTGCAGTGCTGCCTGGTGTTTTGGTGGCCTCAGGCCCCAGCAGGTGCCTTAGCTGCTCCTCTGCCCTGGGAGGAGGGGGACTGGCAGTGCTGGCCCCAGGCACTTGCTAGAGAGTGGGGTGGCCTGGCTTAGGCTGAAGCACTGAGGTTCCCATGGGAGGCACAGAGGCACATGGCTAGAGAGATTGAGGGAATGGGGCTGAGTCAGGGTTCACAAAGTAGAAGGCCCAAAGGAGATCATGTGGGGACCCTCCCCCAGCTACAAGCAGTCCCTATTCGGAGGGCACGGAGCCCCACTCTGGACCAAGGCAGCCCCTCCCTACTGTGAGTACCCACTGCCTCCACACCCACACCCTTGTTCAGGGTGCCTCTGAGCAAGTGGAGCATTTAGAGGGGTCACACTTCTCTCCCTCAGTCTCTGCTGTTGCCTCTTTGGTGTTGAAGAGACCAATGCAAGATGCCCTTAGGGGTCCCTCCTGGGGTCCCAGCTCTTTAGAGCAATGAACTGGTTGCCAAGTGAGTATAAAAGAGTGGCCGGGCCAGGAGGGAACCCACACATCCACTTCCTGAGGGGTGACCCAGCTCCCTGAATGTGTGTGTGTGGGTGTCTCTTGGTGTCTCCAAGCTCTGCTGTGGGCTGGAGCTCCTGGGACACTGTTGTTCTCATTGGGTACTGGGGGGTCCAGGAGAGTGATTTTTCTGCTGGCCTTGGTGGAGTAGGCCCATCTCCTGCCATCCCTCATACGGGGCCAACACCTGGCAGCTCTGGGATGCCTGGCCAGGGTGTCAGGTGGAATTAACTGGCAGCAGGGCCAGGTGGGTGTTGATTGAGGCTGATTGCTGGAAGGCAGCGGCTGCAGGCTGCGCAAAGCTATTTCCAGCTGCTCCAATTGTATCAAGGAGGCTTAATCCTTCTAAGTGCCTTTGTGGTTGGGTGGTGTGGAGTGAGGATGGGGGACCAAGGCCAGAGCAAGGTCAGACTTCCTCTGATTGTCTACGTTTCCTCTCCCATTCACCCCACCCACCCCCTCCCATGCACCAAGCCACCCCCATTCACTCCTCACCACACCATCCTCTCCCCCACCCCTCCATCCACCCATGTACACATCCATCCGGCCACCTACTCACCCACCCACCTACACATCCATCCACCCACCTACTCAACCAACCACCTACACATCCATCCACCCACCTACTCACCCAACCACCTACATATTCATCCACCCACCTACTCACCCACTCACCTCACATCCATCCACCCCAACCCGGTCCCCCATCCATCCACGCATTCAACCATCTTTCCTTCCATCCATCCAACTATCCTTCCATCCACCCATCTGTTGATCTATCCATTCACCCATCAGTCTGCCCACCCATCTACCTACCCATCTGTCTGTTCTTTTGTGGCCATCATTCAGCATTTTCCTCAGTGTTTACTATGTATCTACCATGTGTCAGGCACCATGCAGGGCCTGGGGCTAAGCACAGATGAGGCATGGCCTAGGTCCTGCAGTGGCTCACAGTCTAGTGGTGGGAACGGTGCATGGAGCACCCATGATGGAGGGAGGATGGCCACCACAGGAGCTCACCTTGGGAGGGGAGCCATGCTGAGGACCAAGCAGGGACTTCACAGGTGGGAGCTGGGCCGAGCATCCTCCAGGCAGAGGGCTGGCATGGGCTGGGGCTCAGACGTGTGAGGAAGGACAGCAGAGTAAGGAATGGGGTGGGAGCAGGTATTGGGAAGGGACTGGGGAACTGGGCTGGCTGAGCTCATGAGGGTCTTGGGGCTGGGTCTCTGGCTGCTAGTTCTGTGAGAATGGGAGTCTTTGAGAGTCTTAAGCAGGTGTGGGTTTTAGGAAGATTGCTCCTGTGAGCAGTTAGCCCAAGAGGCAAGGCTGGAGGCAGGAAAATGAAAAGACCAGGAGCTCCTGCCTTGGTGCTGGGGCTGCAGCCCCCCACTACTATGAGCAAGTTCTTAGGGAGTACTATGAGCTCTCCACCACCCCTGCCTTAATGCTGGTCTCATGGGCCACCTCAGTGCCTATGACCCACCATACACCCCAGAAGGGCCCCTTTGAGGGGAGGGGCGGCCCCAGTTGCCATTGTCTTTCGTCTTCCTTTTCTCAACTCCACCTTTCCAGGCTTCTCCTTTCCCCAGGCTCAGTCCCTCCTCTCAAGCCTCTTCCCCACTGGGAAGCTGCCCTGGTAGAGCAGGTGGCTTCACCCAGGCCCATATCAGAGGGAGGCTCCCTTTCTTGACTCTGTGGCTTTGGAGGCTTCCCCTTTCCACCAGCTGCAGGCGCACAGCTCAGGGTGGCTCCTCTGGTAGATGCTTGATAATGTAGTGAAGGATAAACTGCAGGGCAGGAGGCCTGTGCCAGCAGGGCATGCAGCACCAAATCAGGAAAAGCAGCAAGGCTGAGGCCTGGTAATTCCCTGCAGTTGTCTCCAGGTGGCCTTTGGCAGTTCCATTTCCTAGTTAGTGTGTGCAAGCTGGCTGAGCTCAGGGAGGACCGCCAGCTGGTTTAGGGGGCTGCGGGTGAGGGGAGGCCTGGCTGCCTCTCTGCTGGGACTGCTGCTTCTGGAGGGAGTGGGTGAGGAGGCCGGGCTGGGACTTGGGGCACTTGTCCAAGGTGACTCCTGTTGCTGCCAACACCCCACTCCAATGGGAAAACTGAAGGTGGGAGGGTATGCTGGGGTGGGAGGGTATGCTGGGGTGGGAGTGAGGGTGTGCTGGGGTGGGAGTGAGGGTGTGCTGGGGTGGGAGTGAGGGTGTGCTGGGGTGGGAGGGTGTGCTGGGGTGGGAGTGAGGGTGTGCTGGGGCGGGAGGGTGTGCTGGGGTGGGAGGGTATGCTGGGGTGGGAGGGTGTGCTGGGGTGGGAGGGTATGCTGGGGTGGGAGGGTATGCTGGGGTGGGAGGGTGTGCTGGGGTGGGAGGGTGTGCTGGGGTGGGAGTGAGGGTGTGCTGGGGTGGGAGGGTATGCTGGGGTGGGAGGGTATGCTGGGGTGGGAGGGTGTGCTGGGGTGGGCTCTGACCACTGCTTCATGGGGTGTCAGCTCAGGGAGGTGGCTTTTCAATAGCTTTGCATATATGAGTGAGGCGTATGACGTGTGACGGCCAGGGGTGGGTGGGTAGGATCCCCAGTAGGTCTGTGCGGGAAACAGGCAGGTCCCCTGTCCAGAGACGTGGCTCTGAGGTCTTCCGGGATGTCCTTCTTCCCTTTCGTTCTTACGCTCTTCTTGCTTCTCATGCCTCTGTCCTTTGCCCCATCAGCCTACCTGTCCACCTGCAGGGTCTTGTCACCTTCATTAGGTGACTATTAATTGAATCGGGCCTGTGGAATTCCAAAGCCCCAATGAGTGGGTCCCCATGAGGCCCCCAGCTCTGTAGAAAAGACCCCACGAATGCCTGCAGCCTTGATGGTGACCTGATGCTCACACACGGCCGTGATGTCATGGTTGCTGTAATAACATGCAGGTTCATTTGCTGAGGGCACATTGGCTTGAGGTCACAATGAGTGCTCTCCAGCAGCAGGTACTAAAGTACAGCTACCTCATGTAGGAGCCAGTTTTGAACTTTATAAAAGGGTCCTGTCACCCAAAGAGCTGGGGGACCTCTAAGTTTCTGAGCTGGTCCTTAGCAGTTCTTTCTGCTCCTCTCCCCAACAACTTGAGGCCCATGGGCCTTCTTGGTCCCCCTCCAGGGCAGGGTGTCTGGCAGATGCTGTCTTTCATGTCTAGGTGGGGCTGGAGCTGGGACGCTAGCAGCTCTCCTGTACCTTCTGGACCCTGCTGTCTCCAGGCCGACATCCAGCCACTGGGCCTCCTTCCCTGCAGAAATACACGCTTTGAGAAGAGTGCAAATTGCCGTGAGCAATATATAGTCCTCATCTGAATACGATTATGCTTAAACGCTATAAATATTCGTAATTCTCAGCCTTGAGTACTGCTTCCCTTGGTGTTATATCCTTTTAAAAAACACTCAACCATTTAAGGCAAAAAAGTGCTGAGCTCATCCTGGGCAGTTTCCTTTGCTGGTGTCATGGCTGGAGAAATGCAAGTAGTGAATCATGACTCTTGGCTCTTAGTCTGTGGTTTACCTCGGGCTCCTGGACAAGTCACTGAGCTATTCAGCTCCCCACCGGCCTGGGAGGGGCTGGGAAATGTCAGCCCCTACCTTCCTCCCCGCCCCTCTGTCTTCACACCAGGGTTGTCTGCTGGAAAACTGGAGTCAGGGTTCTGTAGGGCAAAATCGATGCTTTCTATGTGAAACCAGTCCTCTGCACCTGGGCTTGATCTAATGCAATAGTTTCATTCACTCCTTCAGTAAACATTCCTCCGGCACCTGTGCCTTGGGGACCCTGAAGTGGCCTCAACACGGTTCCTAAATTCCAACAGCTCACAGCCTGGTGGTGGAGGCAGAGGGTGATGATTCAGAGTGATAATGCCCCGGCTGAGCTGAGCTCTGGATGTTGCGAGGGTGGGAAAATCTCAAGGGCTTCCTGGGGGAAGGGGCACTTGAATTGAACTTTGAAGGGTGAGGAGGAAGGGACAGAGAGCCATGGGCTTGGTGGTTGGTGTGACAATGGCTGAGCTTATTTTAGTGGCCAGTGCTCTGGATGGCTGCGTAGAGGGAGGTGAAACCTGGGTGCACTAAGGATAGCAGCTGGCTGTCTCCTCAGCTTACACCTTCCTTTAGCTTCCTAGAGCCCCTACGGGTTGATGGAGGTGCAGGACAGCTGCCATCTGGGCTGGGGTCTTTGAGAGTAGAGTGCGTCTCCCCTATTTTTGTGCTCCCCACATCCCATCCTGCCCAGTCCCCATGAGAACCTGTCAGAGCAGAAGCAGCCATGGATCCAGCTGTGGCAGGGCAGTGGGTGGCAGCATCCTCATGCCTGGGACTCCTTGTGTTCTCCTCTGGGGACTCCCAAGCCCAGGAGCCTTGGGTTGGTCTCTTTTCTCATGAGCTGAATGGAGTGTGGGCCACCTTTCAAGAATGTACTGGGGGAGGAGGAGGCTTACCCCTCTCTGGTAAGGCTCTGCCTGGGTAGGTGTGGACACTTGGGCTCACTTAGCCAGTCAGCACACTTTCCTTCAACCAATGCTGTTGTGACTTAAGCAGATGCAGAAAATAGGTGTGTGCATCTGTGTATGCTGGGAGTGTCGGGGGTGGGAGCTTGGGAGGGTGGGGATTCCGGGAGTTCAAGAGGTTGGAGGGGGTGAAACCGGAGTACAGTTGGAGGGAACATGTGCCTGGCATCCCAGGAAGGTTTTCCTTCTTTCATGTGACTTGGAATATCAGTGTATCACCTGCTGGTCCTTGGTCTGTCATCTTCTGGTCTTTGGTTTATCACCTGCTGGTCCTTAGCCTATCACCTGCTGGTCCTTGGTCTATCATCTGCTGGTCCTTGGTCTATCACTTGCTGGTCCCTGGTCTATCACCTGCTGGTCCTTGGTCCATCACTTGCTGGTCCCTCGTCTGTCATCTGCTGGTCCTTGGTCTATCACTTGCTGGTCCCTGGTCTATCACCTGCTGGTCCTTCGTCTGTGATAGACACAGCATGCAGTTGTCACTTGCTGTCTGTGCTACCTCAGTCACTTCTTGGAAAGCCGACCCAAGCTGGGCTGGGGATTGCCCACTCCCATGGGCTTGAGGGAGGGAGTGCCCCTGCCTCAAAGCCTGAGCTGAGCTGCCCTTGTTGGAGACAGTGCAGAGGTAGGCCTCAGAGCCCCTCCCCATACCTCCAGAACTGCCTGGAATCATCCCTCCAAATCTCCTGAGAGGTTCAGTGGCCTTGGGTGTGACTGGGAAAGCTCCCTGCACCATCATGGGAATGCCTCCTCAGCACAGAGCAGCCATGTGTGCATGTGCTGGGGGCCATGTGCCTGTGGGTGGTGTGCCTGCATGCGTGCCAGGCAGGGCATTTGGAGGGGCCGAGCCCCCAGCCACAGCTCCGCAGCTTCCTGTTCCTTCTCTGGTGTGTGTCCTGGCAGCTGTGTCCTTCTGCCTGTCATCTCTTTGTCTCTTTCCAGGGAAGGTGTCTGGGCAGGGGGTGGAGAAAGGGAGCACCATCTTCCATGCGCAGGGCAGGGCTGGAGCTGAGCACCAGAGCAACCTACTGTGCCCTCCAGACCTAGCCATCCCGCTCTCAGCCACTTTCCCTGCAGAAAAAGGCCCTTAGGGAATGCAGAGAGCAATGAGCAGTATGTGGTATTTTGGGGGGATTCTCAGAGCCCCTCTGCCTTGGTTTGGTATACCATAGTGCTCCCCAGAAGCAGGTCAGTGGCATGGGAGCATACATGCCCAGGCTTCTCTCCCAGCCAGCAGGAGCTCATAGTTCACAGTGGGGTGGGGACCCTATGACCCCAGCTGAGCTTGCTGTGGAGGGGGGGATGCAGTCTCGCATGTCCCCCCAGGGGGTGACGGTGCTGTTTTGGGTGTGCACCTGACACTCCTAGCCCTTGCCTGACTGTGGCCCTAGTGCCCTTGTGGCTTGGTGTTGTGGTGAGGAAGGGGGTGCCCTGCCCCCCTTCAGCTGGGCTCCAGGGAAGTGCTCGGGCTCTGTGACTTGTGTCCACTCCAACTTGGGGAATGGCATAATGCAGTTTTGCCCATGCTTACACCCCTTCTCCCCTTCAGAGGTCTTGGATCTGATCTGTCCCAGTGGCTGGCCCTGGCACTTAGGGGCTCCTACAGCTCCACTGCCCTGGGTTGCCAGGCTGCCTCTCCTGGGGTGCGTCTTTCAGAGGCCCCTCCATTTTTCAGTGAACAGGCCTGCTCCCCAGCTGCTGGGTGGCCCCTAAGCTCAGCCTGGCCTGCAACATGCATGGTTTCTATGGGGCTTCTTCAGGACAGAGTGGGGTGAAGGCCCCGCTTTTCCTCCCCACCTGACCCACTGCTCCCACCACCCCTTCCCTGGGCACTCAGATGGCACCGAGTCCCTCAAGGCTCTGAGGGCAGCTAAGGTGCTGACTGGAGGCTGAAGGACTGACCACGCCCTCCCCCTGGGCTGGGAGGCACCTGGAAGCCCAGGCTTGGGGTGGGCAGAGTGTGCCCCTTGGAAGCCCTGAGTTCTTGTCCTAGCTCACTCCCCACTAGCCATGCAGTGGATCATACCTGGCAAGAGGGCTCACATCGCCAAGCTTCAGGTGCCCCCTCTGCAAATGGGTGGCCCCCCCTCTAGGCCTGGGAGGATGCCATGAGATGGCATGCAGGACCCTCGGGGACCACCGCGTGGTAGGTGCCCTTCCCTAGTCCTGCCAGCTTCAGGGTTCTTGGGGTTTGGTGTCTGTCCTTGGCCTGTCCCCTTCTTCCCCCCATGCTTTAGCTGGCTCTGTCCCCTGTTTCTGTGATGGCCCTGATGCTGTTCCTGCTGCCTCCCACCCCCTGCCCTCCCTACCCCTGTTCCTTCCGGGTGAGGAGGAGGAGGAGGAGGAGAAGGAGGAGGAGGGGGAGGGGGCTTCCACCTCCAGCCCTCTGGCTGCATCCTCCCTGTGGCCACTTTCCCAGAAGCAAGCTCTGAGCAGGTCCTGCCTTCAAGGCTCCCTGCTGCTCCTGGGATCAAAACAAAGCCCCTCAGCTGATCATCCAAAGACTTCTGGGGACTCCACCCTCCCTTTCCTCCTAACAGCCGTCACCCAACCTCTCACCCCAGTGTGAGCGGGCCATTCCTGGAGGGTGCTGGGCCTTGGCTCACAGCAGCCACTGGCCTGGGTTGTCCTCTTTCTCTGCCCCAGCATCAGCTGCTGTCCTCTGTGAAGCCCCCTTGACACCCCAGGCTACATGACTGTCCACCCCCACTCCACCTGCTGGACCTCCACCACTCCCACAGCCCACAGCCCACAAAGGCTTCCTCTCCAGATAGCCTTTGCTGGGGCCTGTGCTGGGATCTGCCTCAGTTCTGTGTTCCCAGCACGGCGTGCTTGAGGAGTTTTGTGGGGGGTTTCCGGGAGGCAATTTGATAACCTGCTGGGAGAACGTGGCTCCCAATCTGTCTATTATGGCTAGAAATGTGCTGGTGGGAAGATGGAGCCTCACCAACCAGGATTCTCTAAAGTTCCTCTCTGGTTTGTGAGTTTTGTTGTATTATTTTTCAATTTTCTCTGAGCATCTGCTACTGTGAAAATTTTCATTATCACTGGCAAAGAGCCCCTCTCATCCCTGCTGGCTGCAGGAGATTTCCGATTTCTCTCCCCGACTGCTCTGAAGCACCTGGGGGCTGAGATGGTAACGTCCCAGGGCCAGCTGGGCTCTGTCTCAGAAAATATTAGGAGCAGGGCCAGGCTGAATGGCCAGGGAGGTGCTGGCCATGGCTTATGTCGTGATGGCTTTGCCTCCTCCTGGAGGCGCAGGGTTGATCAAGCTGAGAAAGCTGGCTTTGGGGGCCAGTCAGCACCTGTATCCACTTTTCCATCTTGAGAGACCCTTGCCCCCAGGGTGGTCCCCTCAGATGCTGGTGCTGGGTGCATGGCGCACCCCCGACACCTGGCTGACTCATTCTCTAAAACAGGCCTCATGTCAACAACTTCAGAGGCTGTGTGCTGTCATGCTGGCTGTTAGGACGGCGATGAGGTGTTGGAAAGCAAAGCCCATGCAAAACTTGGGGTGAATGAGAAGAGCTCCTGCAGCATGTGGGACACAGGCTGGGTGTGGCACCCCTCACCCCTCACCTGCAGAATTGCACCTGGGCATCCTGCTCAGAGATGGCACCGATGAGCAGAGGATGGCCTTGGACATGCCCAGGCGTCTGACCATCAGCCCAGACCTCACTCTCCTAGCTTGGTTTTGAGTTTGAACCTGGCCAGGCTGCTTTCTTCTCACTCTTCTTGCAGTGGGTGGTAAGTTACCTGTACTTACTGGTGCTGGTCAAAGTGCTTCCTCAGTACTAACTCGACTCTCATTATTACTCCATGAGGTCAGGACTATCATAACCGCGTTTTCAGGGTAGGGCATGGAGCAGGTGTGACTTGCCCACAGCAGTAAGGTGCAGAGCAGGGATTCGAGTCCGGGTAGTTCGGTGCCAGAACCTATCCTCTTACCGCTGGGCCAGTCCTTCTCTCTGAGAGTTCTGGAGAGCCTCCTTTCTCTTGTGTCAATCGGCGTCCTCTGCACTAATGTGGCTTTTAGTTTCAAAGGGGCCAAGAAGGAGTGTGTTTAGCACTTGATTGGTAAATGAATGAATGAATGAATGAATGAACACTTCCCGAGGAGGAGGAATTAGCATTTTAGAACTTATTCAAGATCTATTTTGTGCCAGTGGCTATATTTTCACATCTGTGTGTGGTGCAGGTGCCATGACTTGTTCTTCTCTGCCCTTCCCCCATTTTACAAAATAAGGCATGAGGCATGACCAACCCAGGCTCTGGGCTGCTGTGTGGTAGAGGTGGGCTGGGGCCTGGGCTTCGTGATTGCCAAGTCCATTCTCTTTGCACAGCCCAGGCTGCCTCCCGGGGGGAGCATCTGTGGACTGGCTGGACAGAGTTAGTTTGTGAGAGATGCCTTCAGCTTCCGTAGTGTCACTTTGCCTCTTCCTCATTCTGTTCACAGTCCCCTGGAGTTAGCATTTTGACCAGTAAATGTGGACAACAGTCCACTTGCACTTGGCCACATAAGAATCACAAGAAAGATATAAAGAACAGAAAGGACCTGGGATGGGGGAACCCGCTCCATTTACCCCCACTACCTCCCCAGCTTCACCCCAGCTCTCTCCCTCCTGCCCTCACTCTGGGACGGGGGGCCACACGTGACCAGGGCTGTAGGGGAGTAGTGTGCAGAGCAGGGAGAAGGGGAGCGGGGGTGCTGCCCCTCATAGGTCATCTCCCTGGGCTTGGCTGCAAGGCATGCTGGGGGCTTGCTGGCAGCCAAGGTCGGTAAACAACTAGGCTGGGCAGAGTGAGGGAGGGGCGGCGTCTGTGGAGGGATGGCCCTTGAAGAGGGACCTGTAGCCCAAATACCTGGTTTAAGGGCCATTGGGCAGTTGGCAGCGTTGAACTCACACTGGAGGGTGGGCACAGTCCCCTGGTAATGGAGTCAGGAAAGGTGGACGATGGATTGGGGGTTCTGGGTCAAGAGCCCAGCAGCTGGGGGTGTAGGGGTGGCACATTCCCCTTGAGGGAATGGGCTAGACCTGCCCATTGGCAGGCTTCAGGCCAGTGCTTCTGTCTTGGTCCCCACCAGGTGACAGGCCAGGGAGCGGCACAGAGGGCTGCATGCACTCCCACCTGAACTGCCCAGGCAGTTGTAGAGGGAGTGAGGTGGGTGTGGGCATCCCTGTGACTTTTACCCCAGAGACAGACCCACAGGGTGATGACTGGCTGCCATTGCCTATGGTTTGCCTGGTGAGCACAGCTGTCTCGGGCTGTGCTGTCGATAGTGGGTGGACCAGGGCCAGGCCAGGATGATGTACATCCCGCATTGTCCTGTTGCTGCCTGCTGCTCCAAGGCATCCAGAGCTGGGGGTCCCACTCCATGCGGGGTGCTAGGGAGACACAAGTCCTGAGGGTGCTCAGTGCAGGTGGTGACAGGGACCAAGGAGCAGTCAATGACACTGAGCTGCAATCACATATAAAGCAGAAAGTGACATCAGAGGAAGGGCCTGTGTTGTCCTGATTGTGGGTAAACAAGAAGGTCCCTGGAGAGGAGGAGGCACTTGTCTGGGTAGATGAGAAGGATTCACCAGGTAGATAGGGGCCAACAGGTGACAGTGAGCTTCTGGCAGGGGAACAGCAGGTGCAGAGATGAGGACACAGCATAGCCTCCAGACCCTGCGCTATATCCTGAAGCCTGGAGGTTGCCCTGGGAAGTCTGCTGGCTATGCTGCAGGATTAGTGCAAGGCCTTGGAGCTGGGGCTTGGGGCTGGTTAGGCTGGCAGGGTGGGCCACTCCAACCTTTCCTAGAAGGGCTGCTGGCCAAGGAGTGAGTTTTGCTCCTGCTGCATGAATCACCTGGGGTGGGAGAGACTAGACAGCTGAGGGCCTAGCAGGGGGCATCCTGGTCAGCTTCCAAATGCAGGGTGGAGATGAGAGCCTTGGCACAGACAGGAGCTTTGGAGCAGTCAGCCCTACCAGGGAGGCAGGACATAGGCTGCGGTGGGGGGAGTAATTTCCACCCATACACCTGCATATACCTTTGCTGGTGCGTGCATGAACTCACACACACACGCGCACAAGCACACACACACAGGACCAAGACTCAGAAAGTCAGAAGTAATGATAAGGAGAATGAGAGAGCCAGAGAAAGCTAAAAACAAAAGTCAGACATAGGTTGAGATGAAGAGGGAGAGCCAGAAACCTCACAGAGCCTCAGTTCTCCATCTGGGAGGGATGCTGGAGCCTGCTGTCTGGATGTTCTTGTCTTTCAGGAGACAAATGCAGGTGGGGTAGGGGAGAATTGGACACAGGATCAGGCCCGGTGGCCCGGGGCTGCAGGGAGGGCTGAGGCAGGCTCTGTGGTGTGGCCTGTCCATAGGAGTCTAACTGCAGGCTCCGGTTCCTCAGACCTGGCCTTCATGGGCTTCTCAGTGGTCTGTTACCAGGAGACCAGCTGGCCCAAAGGCCAGCAGGAGGAGAGACCACCGTGTAGCTCCCTCCCTGAGCCTGTTTTAGGGTGCAGTGGACATTCTCTGTTCCCATGGCCCAGTGACTTCTGGAGAGGTGTTGCTTACGAGGTGTTGCTTACAGGAGCACCAAACCCGCAGGCATGTGGAATTTCTGGGAAGCCGGCTGCCTCTTTCCTAGGGCCAGGCCATGATTGGTGTCTGGCCAAGAGCTTTTCTGCTCAACAGTGCTGAGACTACCTCTGCCCGCCCAGACTGAATGAAGGAATTGGCCCCAAGCTCCTCCACTCTCTACTTGGCCGAGTCTCTAAAAACAGGATCCCATATGAGAGGGCTGTGAATAACAACAGAAGTTGATCCTTTTTTGAACACTTACTATGTAACAAACGTTATTCTAAACTTTTTACATGAATTAGTTCATTTAATTCTCATGTCAGCCCTAGGAGGTGGGACTGTTATTATCCATTTACAGGTGAGGGATAGAGGCTCAGGGAGGTTAAGTGGCTTGCCTGAGGGCACACAGCTACCACAGTGGCCTGACTGTCTCCTGGGCTGGTCTCTTAACTTTGAGATCAGAGACAGCTCAGGGTTTGAACCCAGGCTCCCCTGTGATTTTAGGCAATGCTGTAACCTAGGATCTCTGCTCCTGTTCCTCCTGTCTAGAATGGGGTAGTAGTACCCACTTCCCAGGGAGGCCATGCGGTTCAGTGATTAGTTGAGGGGGCCCTGGCACAGCTCCCTTCCTCCTCTCCCACTTGTCTGCAGCAGAAGGCATGTCCTTGCCCCACCCTGAGCACTGCCATAACCTTATCCTCTTTTTCAGCCTTTTTCTAAACAGAGCTGGAAGCACCTTCTTGGTTACCCTAGGGATCCTTTTCTGGCCCCAGCCTTCCCTGGATGTGGCCACACCTGTCCCTTTCTTTCCCCCTTAGTCTATGTCCTGGGCATAGCCGAGCTCCTCAGAGAGCTCCCTGTGCTGCCCAAGTCTCCACCCTCTCTGAGCCAGCTGTGCTTCATAGTCTTGGGACCTGAGTTGTCCTGCCTGGGGCCCCATGGAACCAAGGGTTCTCACATCTGGCTGCTTGTCTCTCCCTTCCTTTGCCAGCCCCAGGACAGCACCGTTGCTTTCTCCCAAGCTTCTCGTTGTCCTTTTCTGACCCCGAACCACTCCCTCCTTCTTGGGCAGAATTAGATAAAGTGAATTGCCCAGGACTCTTGACTCATTCATGCAGGGACTGGATTCTGAACCAAGTCTAGGAGGCCCCATATTCCAAGATCTTTTCTCATTGTGCGCTGAAGGCTAACTCTAGTCTTGGACAAGACAGAATTTTCCATTGCCTCATTCCTAACATAAGTTCCATCCCATTGATTCTCTGACTTACTCGTTTACCTTGAAACACTGATATTTCAAATGATTTCCCTAGTATGGATGTTTCTGTGCTTTCACTCAGCTCATTCAATTGTTCCATATCTTCTGAATATCTCTGCTTCAGGCCCTGACCCTGAAGATACACAAAGCCATGAGCCTCAGCTCCTCCTCTTGTGACCTTAGGGATTAAGCATGAGATAATATGATATATATGCAATAGAAGTGTGCTAGGATAAAGTATTCCTGGACATGCAGGAAAAGGAATGGTTAACTTTGCCTAGCAGGGGAAAAGTCAAATAATGCCAAAGAGCAAGAGGCATTTGAGGTGGATTTTCGGGAGTGAGTGGAAGTGTGAAAGGCAAAGTAGGGGAGGAAGAGCATTTCAGGAAAAGGGAATCAGCACGTGCAAAGATAGAGATTAGAATGGGCATGTCTACATGTAGAGAGCATGGGGCACGTGAAGGTTGGCAAGTACACTGGTGCCATTGTGATGTGTGGAGCTGGGGAGCGGTGGAGGATCTCACAAACTGGACTTTGATCACTTGCAGTGGGGAGCATGGCTAATATTTCAAGGGCGTGCTTGTCACTGACTTTGGTCTGTAGAGTGGGTTGGAGAAAGAAGGGCTGGGAGGCAGGGAGACCAGTTGGCTGATAGGGGAGGAATACAGACATTCAAAGGCAGAGTGAGGAGGTGACATCTTGTGGGCTGGCCTGGGGCTGAGGAGGAGCCCAGGAGGAGCTGTCTGGGCTTGGGTTCCTGGGAGTGCTTCAGGAAGCCCCATTGCTCAGTTGCTTTCGAGGTTCTCCAAGACGCTCCCTGCAGGCATGCCCAGGACTCATCACTGTCCTGATTTAACTTTCACAGTGTAGGCTTCCATGTGAATCCTGGCTGGGGAGCCTAACGTTTCATTGGCGGAGCAGTAAAAGTCATTAATGAGGAGCTGGAGAGCTATAAATAAGCGAGCATGATCCCACCCAGTGTTCCCTGTTTCCAATCTGCAGGAGCAGGGAATTGGTTTTGATTCATTAATTGTTAGAGGAATGAGGCCCCAGAGATCCCATGGTGCTGCCAGCTCTTCCCCACCCTCCTGGTCTGCTTCGTGCATCCTGACTGCATGAGCTGCCCACCTGCCCTGGACGACAGTCCGTCATTCCTCAGGACCATTCGGCTCTGCTCCCCTGGGCCTCTCTGGGCTAGGCTGAGCTTGAGGCCAGAGAGGCTGGGGCTCCCAGCCTGGTAGTGCTCCTGGTGAGATACTTGCACAGCTGCTGCTGCCTGAGCCAGGCCTCAGGCTCATACCTCTTCCCTCCCCACTGTCCCCTTGGTTCTCTGCAAACTCTCAGTGAACCCCTCCTTAGAAGGAGTGTTGGCTTTAAGGAACTGGCTCCCTTTCTCCAAATTGTGGGATATGGCTTTGCCTTTTGGTGAACATGATCACTGTGAGACCTTGGCAAGTTTGAAAACTTTGTGTCTCACCCACGAAATCTGGACTCCAGTTGTGCTTATTTTCCAGAGTTGTTAGGAGGATTCTTTTCTTTTTTTGATACGGAGTCTTGCTTTGTAGCCCAGGATGAAGTGCAGTGGCACTATCTTGGCTTACTGCAACCTCCGCCTCCTGGGTTCAAGCAATTCCCATACCTTGGGCTTCCGAGTAGCTGGGATTATAGGCATGGGCCACCATGCCCAGTAAATTTTTCTGTATTTTTTTTAAGTAGAGACAGGATTTCACCATGTTGCCCAGGCTGGTCTCAAACTCCCAAGCTCAGGCAATCTGCCCACCTTGGCCTCCCAAAGTGCTAGGATTACAGGCATGAGCCACAGATTACATAGTTTCTTGCTCTGCTGTGCTGTGCTGGGTGCTGGGGGTCAGGGGGGCGGGTAAGCAGTGAAGGTGCTTCTGCTTATGGGCAGAATGAGACCACACAAAATAGTCCAACATGGCAAATGTTTGTTAGTGCCAGGAAGGCAAACCATGGTGAGGGAAGACTGGGGACGGTGTGGAAGGTTCTCTAGAGGGAATGATGGTTACCTACCCAGCACACAGGAGAAGGAGAATTAGCCAGACAGACGTAGCAGAAGTACTTTAGGCAGTGGGGAGAGTGTGGGAAGAGTCCTGGCAGTGAGCAAGAGCTTGGGACGCTTGAGTTACTGCACAAAGGCCTGCTACCTGGAACGCAGGGCATAGGGTGTGGAGTATGCTGGGCCTGTGGGTCCCATTAGGGTGTGCGTTTTGTTTTAAGGCCAGTGGGAAGCTCATGTGATTTTAAGCAGGGACAGCACTGTCTGGTTGGTGCTTTATAAAGGCCAGTCCACTAGTGTGTAGAATGGACAGTGTGTCCATCTGGGACAAGTGGGGAGGTTGGAGGTGTAAGGGTCCACTGGAGAGGTGTCAGTGTTCTGGCCCAAGGTGATGGCAGTGGAGTGGAGGAAAGTCGACAGGCTCAAGATATATTTGGGAGATAAAGCATTCAGGCCTGGTGGTGGCTTGGGTGCAGAGGGCCAGTGAGAGAGAAGGGTTAGGAACTGGTGGGTGGATGGGACACCACTTTACTGAGTTTGGGAGACCGGGAAGAACAGACTCACACCCTAGGCAGTTCAGTGTTGATGCATCAAGTTTGAGCTGCCAAGGGACTCATTAAGTGGAGAACTCAGGCAGATGGGTGGGTGGGGGTCAGGACCCCAGGGGGAGCCTTGTGGGCTTGAGAAATAACGGTAGAGCCCTCAATAGGGCCGGGCTTAGTGTTCAGTGGGGTGGGTCAAACATGCAAGGAATGTTGATGATTCCATAAAGAGAGGGTATACATGATGGATCTGGGTGTGGGAAAAGGCCAGAGGAGGGAGGCTTCGGAGCTCAGGAGCAGGGACCAGCCTTAGGAGAAACTTTTCTCTTGAGCTTTCAGCACAGACAGGGAGGTGTGGAGCTCTGGAGGCAGGAAGTCATGCGAGATAGCTTGTGATGATGGCTTCTGATTCATGAAAAAGGATGTAAGTCATTCGTTGAACTTGGGGAATAAACCTGGGTGGTTCAAGAAGAACGGGGAGGGAGGTGGTAGAGATGTGTCAGCGTGGGGAGCCCTGCTGAGGTGGGTGACTGCCATGTGGCCAAGGTCACCAAGTTGCCAGGTGCGTGGTACTCTCTGTGGCCCTGCACTGCTTGCCGGCAGTGTGGAGGAGCGTGGGCAGGTTGATCCACCCTGAGTTGACTCCTAGTTGGGATTTCAGCAGCCAGGCTACATAAGGAAAGAGAGGGATTCTGTAATGGAGTGACTGGAGAGGAGGAAAGCAGGCTCCAAGGCAGGAGGTGGGGTTGCTGCAGGTCTCTGGGAAGTTGGAAAGTGGGCAGAGAATCACTGAAACACAGTCTGTGGGACAGGATGGATGCCTGTCAAGTGTGTGTCCTGTGCTCTGGAGGGAGGCGTCTTCTGCAGGAGGGACGGGAGAGCCAGCTCACTCCAGGGCCCGAGCTCTAGCATTGGCCTCTTACAGCACCACCACCCATCCCCCCACCATTTTATGGTTTTGGTTACCTTTTAAATGTCTTAATAAAAGATGAAACGTATTTATTCTCCATAGATCAATAATTTACTATGAGTTATGACAATACTAAATTTGGTCAATTATTTATCAGCTCTAAAGTATTTATAAATGCTACCTTAATTTAAAGCATTAGCCATTGGAATTCAAATATTAATAAAGCTGTTTCCCATTTAAAGGAAGAAAGGAAGAGTACAGATAATGAGGGTGGCTGGGGGCAGGTGGGTGCTCGTGGAGGTTAAGATTATTGGAGGAACGAGGTGGCTCGTGGAGCAGCCTTGGGGGCGGCAGAGGTGCTGGACTCCCTTGGGGAGAGACCATTCCTTCTGGGCAGGCAGGGCTGAGCCCGGGTTTGCCCAGAGCCTGGCTCTTTTTTCTGCTGCCCGTGGAGAGGAGCTGAGCCTTGCTGGGTTCCTCTGAGGTTAGGGCATCAGGTTGTTTCTCCCCAGGTGGAGGCTCTCTCTTGCCTCATCCATTTGGAAATGTCCTGCTGTTCTTTAAGGTGGCACCCAGGGGCCAGCTAACACAGGAGCTGCCGGTTGAGGGGGCTTGGGACCTCAGAGTTGCAGGGGCTGCATGGGCAGATCTTCTTCCTGGGTGAGCAAGCCTGCGGAGCGATGCCTCCAGGGCACCTGACAGAGGGAAAGGCTGAGCTGGCAGTGGCCAGTGTCGTGACTGGGGGGTGGCACCAGGAACCGTGGGTCTCTTCTAACACATGCCTTCTGGGGTATTGCTTCCCACAGCCTTGTTCTGAGAATGTTCCAGAAATCCCCACGGGGATGGAGAATAGTGGGCATGGATTAGTGATGGCGCCTAGAGTGACCTCAATGTCTGAGGGCACCTTTCTCACCTCCAGCACCCACCTGCAGGCACCCAGTGACTTGATGAGTCAAGGATCTGCTTTCAGGGGAGACAGGCCTTGTTCCTGCCTGCCTACTCCTTCCCTGGGGCCTGCACTGAGCCGGGAGGTGCCCTGGGGATTTCTATCCAGGGACAGTTGGGTAGAGTCAGCCTGGAATCCTGGGTTCTGTCCCCTGCTGGCCACTTTCTCTTTGCAGCATTGGATGTAGAGGTGCCTGGTGGTCTGGTGTTCTCTTTGCTGTTTGCTCTCTGGCTGTGTGGCCCTGGCCAAGCAACTAGCACTCTCTGTGCTCTGATTTTTTTTTTTTAACCAGGGAAATCAGAAAGCTCACCTGGGGTGAGAGTTACTGAGAGTTTGTTCTGTGAAGTGGCCAGTACCTCACCTGACATGTCCCACCCCTGAGAGTCCGCTGTCTGGAAAAGCCTGGATGGGTGGGATGTGAACATCTTCTCCAGGGAAGCAGGTGGGAATGTGACTGTGGATTGTGCAGTTGTATTGCGAATGCTGTCTGGGCACCCCCCACACCCCCAATGCCGAGCTCTGAGTAGCCCTTTCTTTTGTGGGGACCCTCCACTTTCCCAGGACACAGGGTGCAGGTGGGGGGGCTGGAAGCCGCTCATTACAGTTTGTCTTTACTTACTTTCCCAGCTGATGGATGGGTCATTCTCAGGGGGCCCTTATCAGTCCATCAAGCCTGTGTTGTAATCAAGAGAGACATCAGCTTTGTGACCATATAATATGGAGGCAAAGAATTATAACAAAAGCTGTTATCCTCTAGAGAGCTGTAAAAACATCTTTGAGCATCATCCTAGGTAGCGATGACTTCTGAGTTGCTACTATGTGCCAGGCAGCATGAATGGCTGTCCACATATAAAGACCTTTCATGGCACACATGGAGCAGCCCTGTGAAGAGGGAGCCATCATCTTTATTTGACCCCCCCAAGAAGAAAGAAAGAAAGACAGAAAGAAATAAAGAGAAAGCCAACCAGTAACCCAGAGAGGACCAGCCCTCACCCACAGTCCCAGCTTGTGACCAGGGCAGGCCCCGGACTCCGGCCAGGTGGCCAGTCCCAGTCCTGGGGTTCAGCATCTGTCACAACAACCAGGGCATGCATTGTGTAACATCCCATCACACACAACCTTGATTAAGCTAATAGCTGATTTGGCTTTGATCTGATGTATTTTGATCTTATTATTTTTATGTTAGAAGCCTCCAAATAACCATCATTTCAACAGTGCCCCAATTAGCAGGCCATTCACAGTGGATTGGAAATTGACTCACATCGGGCCTCTCCATTAGCGCCTGGGAGAGGCTTCCAGCCTTAATTACCCACCCTTTTTGTGGAGGCCTGGCGCTTACAACGCTGCAGGTGGCTCCACGAGGGGTGGGCCGGCAGTGCTCACCTCCACGGGGAGGGCGAGATGGCTCTTGCCTGTGACTACTAGTACTTAAGATCCTGGGCATGACTTTGGTGGAGAGATGGGATGTCCAAGGAAGGGGCAGGAGGCTGACATCTGTTCAGCATCTTGTGCACTGTGAGGCATTGGCACTTGCTATCAGCGTCCTAAGTCAGTGCTCTCGTAGCTCTGCTGGGTAGAGATTCTTATTCCTATTTAATAGAAAATGGAGGCTGAGAAAGGGACATGCCCATGGCTGTGTGGCTACTGACCGGAGGAGCCAAAACTGGAACTTGGGTGAATGAATGCTTGAGATCCGAATGCTCTTCCCACCACCCCTGGTGAGGTGGTAGCTGGTGAGGGTTCAGCCCGGCTATATGTCTTTGTCACTCTGCACCCACCTTGTGCTGCTCTCCTGAGACCCTGAAAGGTTCTAAGTCCCTTCCTTCCTTTGAGGCCCTGGTGCCAACCACAAATGAATTTACCCTCCTCTGTGTCCCAGGGAGCTTCCTTTCTCTCTCCTCCAGTTGAGTTGCAGAGTCTGTCTCCTCAGTGGATCCTAAGCTCCTCAAAGATGGGACCTGTGGTCATCCTGCTCTTCCCCCTGACAGTGCTTAGGGCAGGGGCTGGCTTGTGGGGTGTGGGCAGGGATACCAAGTGTATGTATGAGACAAGGAGGGCAGGAGCCAGTGGCATGCATGCCCAGATGGGGAAACTGAGGCTCAGAGAGGTTCTGCCACTTCAGAACCTGACATATATGGAGTGGGGACAGATGATGACCTGGGAGGGAGCCAGGCAGGTGGGGCAACAAGAGCCAAAAGTGACTGATGGCTGCAAGGAGGACTCTCCGTGGGAGTCCTGGGATGGGACAATTCCACAATTGAGCATTGGAGTTCCTGGACAATTTACGTCCCAGGGATATACAGTTTATTTTATACAATTGCTGTTTAAGATTATAAATGTATTGTATTGGCATTAAAGAGAGCATGCATAAGAAAAAATATCCACGTATTGTCATAGTGCCTTAGCTTTTAGTGTTTTCTCTTGCTGTTTTCATGGGTGTGCTTTCTGCCTAGCTGTAATCATAGTTAGCATATAATTTTGTGCCCTGGTATTTTCACGTGACCATCTCTCAGAAGCATTTTCCCCATGTCTGTGGCAGTGTTCGTTGTGTGGCCTCACATCTCATTATCTGGAAAATGGATGCAATGATACCTACTCTACACAAATGTCCTGAGAATACTGTGAATTCACATGTACAAAGGACGCCAAGAGAATTTGGCACAGAGGCAATTCTCACACAATAGTCCTTCCTCCTGTGTAGTTTTCCTGCTTATCCATTATCAGAGGATTATTTTTCTTTTTAAAAGGAATTATCTGTTTATGTCACAAAATTTTGGCTAATATAGAAAAGAATGAAAACCACTTTCAGGTTTCTTCTAAATTGCAGTCACTTTTAACATTTTGCAATATTTCCTTCTGGTTTTTCTTTCATGCATGTTGATGTTTTATTTAATTGATAAAATAAAATACATACAATTTTGTATCACTTTCACCTACCTTTTTTATGACAGGCACTTTCCCATGTTATTGTAGTATCTTCTTGACTAGTTTAAAGGCTATATATACTTTCAGAAAATGGGGCACTTTCATAACCACTCATCTATTTGCATCTTTTAGATCATTAGCAATATTCCAAGAGTATGGATAGTGTCCTCTGAATGGTTTTGGATTGAGTGCTGTTCCTACGGTTTGGACAGGTACCCAGAGAGGAATTATTGACTGGGGCCATGGAAATTCTTGCATGGTGTTCTTGCACGAGTCTTTACTGCTATTGTGAACTGGGCTTAGCCTGTGTCTGGGAAAGGATGGTGAACACAGCAGGCATGACCCTGGTCCTCCTGGAGCCTGGGGTCAAGTTGGAGAGCCAGCCAGTAACACAGGCAACATGTGGCTCATGACAGGGAAGTGCAGTGAAGGGGGATAATGCCACAAGGGTTATGAGCCAGTCTGGGGATGCTGAGTCTGAGTTTTGAAGCAAGAGTGAGCATCAGGATTGAAGAGGTGAGTTTGAGGGTCCAGGGTGGGCAGTTGGTTGGGATGTAGCAGAAAAGGGTGTGGTGAGGAGCATGAGGCTGCAGGTATGGGAGCTTGCAAGACCACCCTTTCAGGAGTGGGCTTTTACTTTATCCCTAGGCTCTTGGGGGGCACAGCAGGGCACGCAATGGATTTCTGTTTAGGAGAGAACTCAGCAGACTGGAGCTGGGGTAGGAGGGGGCCAGGGCATCTGGGGGACTGTGAGATTCACAAGATCTCATCATCTCTTGTTTAGCTACCCCCTGCCGGTGGCCTTGAAGAGGAGAGAACCGTAGGATTTGGGTTCTCTTCCTGCTGGTGCTCATGCAGGTGCAAGGCGAGCGCCCTTGCATGGAGGGCAGCCGGTCTTTGCTGCTGGAGAGTGTGGGGGGACCCTCCCCTTCCCACATGTTCCCCTGCCTCCCACTGCCTTGCTCCCTGGGGTCAGTTCCCCCTTTTCTTCTCTCTCTCTCCCAGCCTTATCTGAGGCATTACATAAACCCAAGGGCTCTTGACCAAAAGAACTGCATTGTCAAAAGTTGTTCAAAGTCTGCTGTGTGCAGCAGATGGCCTGCTGCCATTCACAGCCTGTGTTTTGAAACTGCATCTGCGGCCGGGCGCGGTGGCTCACGCCTGTAATCCCAGCACTTTGGGAGGTCGAGACGGGCGGATCACGAGGTCAGGAGATCGAGACCATCCTGGCTAACACGGTGAAACTCCGTCTCTACTAAAAATACAAAAATTAGCCGGGCATGGTGGCGCGTGCCTGTAGTCCCAGCTACAGGGGAGGCTGAGGCAGGAGAATGGCGTGAACCCGGGAGGCGGAGCTTGCAGTGAGTCGAGATCGCGCCACTGCACTCCAGCCTGGGCGACAGAGCGAAACTCCGTCTCAAAAAAAAAAAAAAAAAAAAAGAAACTGCATCTGCTTCTCCACATCCTTGCCATCGCATAAACCATTAGTAAGAGATGTTTGCTTCAAAACTGGTGCAGTGGGTTGCAGCGTTGGGAGGTGCATCTTTCTATTAATTGGTTGATGTCCCAAAAAAGTGTACGCACGTGGCTACAAGGGGCGCCTCTTGCAGTTACAGGAGAACTTGTAAAGATGAGCCCCTGAGCGTGTCAGCCCTAGAAGCGGCTGCTGGAGCGTCCGCTGTGTTCCTCCTCCACACCCGTGGTAACTGCCTGAGTGGCGGGAACGTCTTTCTTTGTTATTGTCAAGTGGCTTTTGAATAATCCTTCTGGAACAACTGCTTCATCTGGGGTTTGGCCCAGTATTTTTGTGATATGGATCACTTGGATTTGGCCAGAAGACCTAGGGTTTCTTTTCTTTTTTATTTTTTTCCTACATCTTGGGTCCTCTTGGGTAAGTACCTCTCTGACTTTCAGAAGCCATTTAGTCCCTTCAGTCCCAATCAGTTCAGTTCAGTCAACAGTTGTAGAACACACAGTATATTCTCTGCCTGTGGCTAGGCATGAGGATGCACAGATCAACACAATGACGTTTTGGCTCTTAAAGGGCTTATAGTCCTAGGTGGGAAACAGGATGGCTAATTTTACAGCTCAGTGGGGGTGAATCAGGCAGATTTGGGATGGATCTGTGCTCTACCATCCTTCCCTGACTAGCCTAGGGCAAATGGTTTTGCCCGTTTTGACTTCTATTTTCTCATGTTAAATGGGTACAAGAATGTATAGCTGGCATTTTCACCAAGGATGTCAGTGAGGCTGTGCTTATGAGAGCCACTGGCCTGCCCAGGATGGTTCTTGGTCCTGGAGGGAGGCAGCCTCTCTTGGGAGTCCTGGGCATGAGCTGCCAGGCATGGGGCCTGCAGGTTGAAGCTGGTGCAGCATCGCCCTGATGCTGACCCCTTCCTCTCTCTCTTCTCTCTTTCTAGCCTGTGACCTCATGACCCAGGGGATTTTGGCCTTGGTCACGTCCACTGGCTGTGCATCTGCCAATGCCCTGCAGTCCCTCACGGATGCCATGCACATCCCACACCTCTTTGTCCAGCGCAACCCGGGAGGGTCGCCACGCACCGCATGCCACCTGAACCCCAGCCCCGATGGTGAGGCCTACACACTGGCTTCGAGACCACCCGTCCGCCTCAATGATGTCATGCTCAGGCTGGTGACGGAGCTGCGCTGGCAGAAGTTCGTCATGTTCTACGACAGCGAGTATGGTGAGTTGTCCGGCAGGCGAGCTGGGGCTGCTTGGGGACAGGGATGGCCAGATGCTGGGAGACCTGAGAGTGGGTGGGGCCCTGGACCGGTCAGGGGTGGTCTGTGCTGAGTGGGCCTCCAGGTGATAGGGTCAAACCTCGAGCTTCATGAGTCAGGAAGAGCTGCAACAACAGCTCCATAGATAGGTATAAAGTTGCCTAGCAACAACACCTTATCATGACGGCTGAAGTTTGAATCATCTTAGAGGTTTCAATAAAATATTAATAAACTGCTGGCAGGGATCCAAAGGGCTGTATGCTGGCACAGATGGAGGCTGGAAAGCATGGTTCCTCCTGGAGGTCTCCTCTCCAAAGAGTGCCCTTCACACTGGACGATTGCCTGGCCTTCCTGGCTCCTTGCCTCCATCCATCGCAATCTGCCTTCAGTTTCAGGGTTCCAGGCTGGGGCAAAGGTCAGGGGACGGAATGCCCTGAGTGTCATGGAGCCAGGCTGGGGTTGGGGGTTGGGAACACTGGGTAGGGCTGGGCATGGCTTCTTTGAAGACCTCTCATATGAAAAAAAATCATAATTTGCTTGTTAGGAAACCACAAAAATGGGCTTTGGAGAAATGGCTTCAGGTTTTCTTATGACTGCTCTGTAAAAACAGACTAGTCTTAATCCTGAGATAGAATGGTTTCCATGTTTAGTGTTTAAACAATTTTTTTGAAAATTATGTGATAATTTAGATTTACATGCAATTATAAGGAGCAACCTAGGGAGATCCAGCGTGCCCTTCACCCAGGTTCCCCCACAGTAACATCCTGCATAGCTGTAGTACAATATTGCAACCAGGATTTGATACAGCCTGTAGGCCTTGTTCATATTTCAGTAGTGCACGTGTTCTTGCAGGTGTGGATTTACTGCTATGCATTTTAAAAATCACATGTGTAGATTCCTATGACCACCAGTCAGGATACAGAGCAGTTCCTTCACAAGGATCCCTGTGCTACCTCTTTATAGCCACAGCCACCTCCATAACATGTTAGAGGGTGTGGGAGACTGATGAGGGTTGGCAGCCCCACGGCTGGTGCCAGGATGGAATGGGTGGACCTTCAAAAGTCCCATTTTGTCTCTGGGTGATATAATTTCTTTGCCAAGAATGTAACTAAGAAAAGAAATCAGCATATGTTTGCATTTGCCTAAATACTCTTCTTCTCTAAGACTGGAATGTTGTCCTCAGCTCTTGAGCAAATATGCTGTTTGGAGTCTTCCAGGAAGAATTGAAAGAGCAAACAGTCACTGTGCTGAAATAAAGATGAGGTGGATGGGGACAAGGGCAGGACCTGAACTGGACTCAGTCCAGGACCTGGCCTCTCCCTCCCACCCTCCCACTCCTGCTCAGTCCCTGGCCCTTGGTGAGGAGTTGGAGATTTTGTAACAGCCCCGAGCTGCCTGCAGGGATCTCTTAGGGGCCAGGCCTTCCCCGAGAACCCTTGGGGCTGGTGGCTCAACCCCAAAGTCCAGCCTGCTCTGAGGCTGAACCCTGTGGAGAGGCATGGACACTGCCAGGGATGGGGGTGCTGTGGTCCAGTGTGCCCAGGCCCTTCCCATCTCACTTTCTCTGGGCACCATTGCTCTGTTTCCAATCTGGCCTGCAGACACAGTTTTCCCCTAGAGCCTGGGAGGCGACCTTGATGGGAGCCTCAGCCGCTGGGAGGGCAGGTGATCAGCTCTCTAGCCTGCCCACCCGCCTGGGCTCCTGTGACTCCTGCAGACTGAACAAGGCCTGGTGGCACTTGCCCAAGTCCTGTTTTCTTATTACCCTCCTTACCCTCACTCTTCTCAAGATGCAGGTCCTCAAAGAAAGGTGTCCCTGAGCCCCACCTGTCCTACAGAGCTGGCAGCTTGGTTACACGCTCTCGCAGACATGCTCGTCCTGCCCTCAGCCTGCTCTTGGCTTGTCCTGACTCTCATGAGGGCTAGTCCTCCATGAGTGCTGGACTGCCTGGTGATGCAGTGAAGTCCGGGAGAGTGGCTGTGTGCTTCCCACCACCATGGCCCTGCAGCCTGCATGGTGCCTGGCATAGAGTAGCCCCTCGACACATTCATGGATGGGGACATGGAGTTTTCAAGCCATTTTCACACAAAACAAAGGAGGAATGGGGAGAAGGACAAGGGTACTGGATGGTCTGACCTCTGACTATGAGGTAGCAGGGAAGGGGTGTAGGCTAGGAAACAGGTTGTATTCTACAGTCACACTCCCCCACCCCTCTTCTTTCCTCCACCCAGAATCTCCAATGTGATCAAAAGCTGTGTTCCTCTTTTCTGACATGGACACCTTTGCTACCTTTGGTGGGGTTGAAGTTAGTTTCCAACCAGACTGCTCCTTATCAGTAATTCCATAAAGTCGCCAAGTGACCAGTAGCTTTCATCTGGAGGACCACTGCAGCTGGTTGGTTGAGGCTGCTTGGGAGCTGTGCTGGGAAGGATTCTGAGGCCGTGTGTGGGCTCAGCAGCAGAAAACACCATGATCAGTCTGTGAGGCTTCCATGGTGCAAGAGAGGGATTGGCAGAGACCTGTCATGTTTGCTGGTTCAGACCTGGAGGGTGGAGGTGAGCGGAGAACCCCAGAGCTGGGGTTCTCAGTCAGAAGACAGCGTCAGAGTGGTGTGCTCATGGCGC